>NC_000004.12:85891077-86042593 GCF_000001405.40 Homo sapiens
AGTCAGCATGGTGGGGATGTAAACTGGACAGAGATTTTGGAAGTAGTGCTAATATGACTAAATGACTGAGTAGGTCTAGGACCTAAGGGGGACGTTATACTACATTGGGACGAGAGTAAATTTCAAACAAGATTTCAGGAAGGCTTTGCTGAAGTTGCTTATCAGCTTAAGGAGATTTTGGGCTGAGACGATGGGGTTTTCTAGATAAACAATCATGTCGTCTGCAAACAGGGACAATTTGACTTCCTCTTTTCCTAATTGAATACCCTTTATTTCCTTCTCCTGCCTGATTGCCCTGGCCAGAACTTCCAACACTATGTTGAATAGGAGCGGTGAGAGAGGGCATCCCTGTCTTGTGCCAGTTTTCAAAGGGAATGCTTCCAGTTTTTGCCCATTCAGTATGATATTGGCTGTGGGTTTGTCATAGATAGCTCTTATTATTTTGAAATACGTCCCATCAATACCTAATTTATTGAGAGTTTTTAGCATGAAGGGTTGTTGAATTTTGTCAAAGGCTTTTCCTGCATCTATTGAGATAATCATGTGGTTTTTGTCTTTGGCTCTGTTTATATGCTGGATTACATTTATTGATTTGCGTATATTGAACCAGCCTTGCATCCCAGGGATGAAGCCCACTTGATTATGGTGGATAAGCTTTTTGATGTGCTGCTGGATTCGGTTTGCCAGTATTTTATTGAGGATTTTTGCATCAATGTTCATCAAGGATATTGGTCTAAAATTCTCTTTTTTGGTTGTGTCTCTGCCCGGCTTTGGTATCAGAATGATGCTGGCCTCATAAAATGAGTTAGGGAGGATTCCCTCTTTTTCTATTGATTGGAATAGTTTCAGAAGGAATGGTACCAGTTCCTCCTTGTACCTCTGGTAGAATTCGGCTGTGAATCCATCTGGTCCTGGACTCTTTTTGGTTGGTAAACTATTGATTATTGCCACAATTTCAGAGCCTGTTATTGGTCTATTCAGAGATTCAACTTCTTCCTGGTTTAGTCTTGGGAGAGTGTATGTGTCGAGGAATGTATCCATTTCTTCTAGATTTTCTAGTTTATTTGCATAGAGGTGTTTGTAGTATTCTCTGATGGTAGTTTGTATTTCTGTGGGATCTATGGTGATATCCCCTTTATCATTTTTTATTGTGTCTATTTGATTCTTCTCTCTTTTTTTCTTTATTAGTCTTGCTAGCGGTCTATCAATTTTGTTGATCCTTTCAAAAAACCAGCTCCTGGATTCATTGATTTTTTGAAGGGTTTTTTGTGTCTCTATTTCCTTCAGTTCTGCTCTGATTTTAGTTATTTCTTGCCTTCTGCTAGCTTTTGAATGTGTTTGCTCTTGCTTTTCTAGTTCTTTTAATTGTGATGTTAGGGTGTCAATTTTGGATCTTTCCTGCTTTCTCTTGTAGGCATTTAGTGCTATAAATTTCCCTCTACACACTGCTTTGAATGTGTCCCAGAGATTCTGGTATGTGGTGTCTTTGTTCTCGTTGGTTTCAAAGAACATCTTTATTTCTGCCTTCATTTCATTATGTACCCAGTAGTCATTCAGGAGCAGGTTGTTCAGTTTCCATGTAGTTGAGCGGCTTTGAGTGAGATTCTTAATCCTGAGTTCTAGTTTGATTGCACTGTGGTCTGAGAGATAGTTTGTTATAATTTCTGTTCTTTTACATTTGCTGAGGAGAGCTTTACTTCCAACTATGTGGTCAATTTTGGAATAGGTGTGGTGTGGTGCTGAAAAAAATGTATATTCTGTTGATTTGGGGTGGAGAGTTCTGTAGATGTCTATTAGGTCTGCTTGGTGCAGAGCTGAGTTCAATTCCTGGGTATCCTTGTTGACTTTCTGTCTCGTTGATCTGTCTAATGTTGACAGTGGGGTGTTAAAGTCTCCCATTATTAATGTGTGGGAGTCTAAGTCTCTTTGTAGGTCACTCAGGACTTGCTTTATGAATCTGGGTGCTCCTGTATTGGGTGCATAAATATTTAGGATAGTTAGCTCCTCTTGTTGAATTGATCCCTTTACCATTATGTAATGGCCTTCTTTGTCTCTTTTGATCTTTGTTGGCTTAAAGTCTGTTTTATCAGAGACTAGGATTGCAACCCCTGCCTTTTTTGTTTTCCATTGGCTTGGTAGATCTTCCTCCATCCTTTTATTTTGAGCCTATGTGTGTCTCTGCACGTGAGATGGGTTTCCTGAATACAGCACACTGATGGGTCTTGACTCTTTATCCAACTTGCCAGTCTGTGTCTTTTAATTGCAGAATTTAGTCCATTTATATTTAAAGTTAATATTGTTATGTGTGAATTTGATCCTGTCATTATGATGTTAGCTGGTGATTTTGCTCATTAGTTGATGCAGTTTCTTCCTAGTCTCGATGGTCTTTACATTTTGGCATGATTTTGCAGCGGCTGGTACCGGTTGTTCCTTTCCATGTTTAGCGCTTCCTTCAGGAGCTCTTTTAGGGCAGGCCTGGTGGTGACAAAATCTCTCAGCATTTGCTTGTCTATAAAGTATTTTATTTCTCCTTCACTTATGAAGCTTAGTTTGGCTGGATATGAAATTCTGGGTTGAAAATTCTTTTCTTTAAGAATGTTGAATATTGGCCCCCACTCTCTTCTGGCTTGTAGGGTTTCTGCCGAGAGATCCGCTGTTAGTCTGATGGGCTTTCCTTTGAGGGTAACCGGACCTTTCTCTCTCGGGTTCATGTCCTTTGTAGGGACATGGATGAAATTGGAAACCATCATTCTCAGTAAACTATCGCAAGAACAAAAAACCAAACACCGCATATTCTCACTCATAGGTGGGAATTGAACAATGAGATCACATGGACACAGGAAGGGGAATATCACACTCTGGGGACTGTGGTGGGGTGGGGGGAGGGGGGAGGGATAGCATTGGGAGATATACCTAATGCTAGATGACACGTTAGTGGGTGCAGCGCACCAGCATGGCACATGTATACATATGTAACTAACTTGCACAATGTGCACATGTACCCTAAAACTTAGAGTATAATAAAAAAAAAAAAAAAAAGATTTCAGGAAGGCAAGAGAAAAATGCAGGTTTGTGGGTGAAAATGGTGATTCTTATTTGGGGATATTCTGTGTTTAAAGTTAATATAGTACATCTGGATGGCAAAAGAGAGAAGAGAGGGAGATGTCAAATTAGGAACCTTCACACCAGGGTTAATGACCAAGCTTACAGGAGCAAATAAGATTCTTCAGAAAGAGTCTCACACAAGAAGAGGGTCACTATTTATAGGGAAGGTAGAAGACATACCAAAAGGACAGGATGAGGAAAAAACAGCCAGAGAAGTAGAAGTAAGGATGGATCCAAGAAAAAGGTGTATAGTCAACTCTCTCTTCTCCTCTACAGCTTAATTCTTCTGTTGCTCTTGTTCTTTGAAGGCACAAGATCATCCAGATCAGACAAGATTGATAGTGAACATTTTGTTTATTTTCCTTTATCAACTCTAAGCAAAGTTGAATCACTAAGGAATTTAATAACAGCTAATGAGCAAACCCCACATTATTCATTAAAGTATTTAGCAGGATGAGGATGCAAAGGCATAAAAATGATATAATGGACTTTGGGAGCCAGGTGAGGTGGCTCATGCCTGCAATCCCAGCATTTTGGGAGACCGAGGTGGGTGGATCACTTTGAGCTCAGGAGTTAGAGGCCAGCCTGGACAATGTAGCAAAAGCCTGTCTCTGTTAAAAATACCACAATTAGCTGGGCGTGGAGTCACATGCCTGTAATCCCAGTTACTCAGGAGGCTGAGGCAGGAGAATCTCTTGCACCCAGGAGGCAGAGGTTGCAGTGAGTAGAGATCATACCACTGTACTCTAGCCTGGGCAACAGAATGAGACTCCCTCTCAAAAAAAAAAAAAAAAAAAAAAAAAAAACAAAACAAAAAGCAAAAAAAAAAAAAAAAAAAAGAAAAGAAAAGCAGGATTTTGGGGACTCACGAGGGAAGATCGGGACGGAGTAAGAGGTAAAAGACTATGTAATGCATACACTGTACACTGCTTGGGTGATTACTGCACAGAAATCTCAGTAATCACCACTGAAGAACTTATCCATGTAACCAGAAACCACCTGTACCCCCAAAAAACTATTAAAATAAAAGTAATATATTTAGCATGTAAAAGAAACAGAATTGCTAAAGGAATAAAAATAAAGGACATAGTTTACTTACTACTTCCAGCTTCTGTAGCTCACCATCGGAAGTTTTACACTGAAGAGTTTAGAACCAGAACTGGCTCAGTCTATGGAAATTTATCTACACTATGGCCAGTTGTTCACATTAAAGTCATTTATCCCAAAGTAGATCACCTGGGCTTCAGCTAGCAGGACACTCATGGAAGGCACTCATAAATGAACATGGAATTCATTCCATACACTCTGAGCAGCTAGATTTCTCATCTTTTGTGCTTGTTTTCCTGAGGAAAAAAATATCTTTTGGGGGGAAAATTTCTATTTTTTTGCAGCTATTGATGTTTCATGGTCTACATTAATAATGTTTTAAGGCAAAATTCATATTTCTTATTTTGAATACCTTGACAAAAATTCAGTCTGACTTTTTTCTGTACCCTTTTTGAAATTAGAGGTGATTCTAGGCACAAATATCTAGTGTATGGATGAAGGGTGTTTTGTGAGAATTTTACACTACTTGCACGTAGCAGACTATGGAGCAAAAAGCCAGCTTCAGTGCTATTAGTGTTAGACCATTTACATGTTATTTCTCAGTGTTTTGTTTCTAGGCTGCCTACCTGATAATATGGAAATTTAATGCCAGATCTCAAAACCTGTCTGAAAGATTTATAGGTCATTTCTCTGTTTCAGAGGTTGTTTATAGATCTCACTGTTTGTAGTGATCAATTACGTTAATTCCATGGTAGAGGGTACTTCGCCATAAAGTTAATGGCTTCAGTGACTAAATGCAGAAGAATAATTACTTTATTGAAACAAAAACACAAGAACAGAAAGAACTACCAGTCCTAAGTAAACCCATATTTGTTGATACCAAGTATTGCTAAACAAACAGAAAATTTGGTGGGATATTTAAACTCAATTTCTATGTTTTAATGAAAGGATGCAGTTGCAACAGAAGTACCTGATGTAGTTTAACTTTTTGATTTTAGGAAGCCAACATTATTTTGCAATCTATCCAGTTAATATTACTTTTTTATGTTTACGATTAGTTTTTAAGTAGTTCTGTATTACTATATTATCTTAAAAGATTTCTCTTCTTCCCTGATCTTGAATAAAACTGCCATTTATATCTCCTGTGGCCATATCCTACCAAAAAAACAATACTTCTTTTGTTTTAAACCTTTTCTGCAATCCCATGCTGGGAATCCTAGCCTCCTTAAGTCTCTTCTTATAGTGTCGTAGAATTTCTTTGTAGAAGTGGCTAATGGGTAGAATATACTGTATTTAGAAGAGGATGCTGGATTCTTCTTCTTGAAGTTTCACTTGCATAGCAAACACTGTACATTTATTTAATTGCTCATTTATTTGGGAGACATAGGGCTAAATCTATATCCAAGACACTTACCCCTTTTACTGCCTCCCTCTTCTACTGATGCTCAGAGGCCGTAGCAGTGTTTCATGCTTGCATTTCAATTGTCCTCTCAGCCCCCAATATTGCAATAGTCATTCTTTCTGTTTGGGGAGCCTCTGTTGAATGTCCCATAAATGTGATATTCTGTCTCATTTCTCTCTTTGAATGTAGATTGGTCTGGGTTGCTGCTCAAGACATTC
Organism: Homo sapiens; assembly: GCF_000001405.40. Lineage (NCBI taxonomy): Eukaryota > Metazoa > Chordata > Mammalia > Primates > Hominidae > Homo > Homo sapiens. The sequence goes on from NC_000004.12 coordinate 85,896,850, forward strand.
TGTTATTTTCATAACCTATCATGCTCCCATAGTAGAGCACATATTTATACCCCGTGAGCACTGGCTATAAAGTGTCAGTCTCTGACAAACATGGAGTTTGGTTTAAAAAATCTCTTTTAGACTTCATCCTGTCTTTATTGCAACTTTTTCACCTTGGGCATTGCACGTGCAGCATACTGAGAACTTTATGAGTAAAAGGTACTGCCCACTACAACCACATGGGCCTTCTTTCTTTGTCAGCAGTTAGCCATTCCCATGAAAAGACTTGAATGTCCCACTGTCTCTTCCCATAGGATGAGTTCTTGAAAGGCTATAAAATGATGCATCAAATCATTCCCAGCCTGGCCCTGCTCTTTGCCTCAATGCTGGTGTGAACACTGATCTGTTGTCAAGCAGAAGCACCAACCACCTCAAGGAAATATTAAATCAAAAGACAAATGTGAAGGAAAAATCACTCCACAGTCTGCACACAAATATATTTTGTTTTGCTTATTCACTTGTTTATCTACTTTAAAAAATATATGAATGTACTGAATTTCCTTCACTCATATGTGATCCCAAAAGATTATCTGGTTCAGTCACCTGTTGATGGGAAAATGTTAAGGCATTATTTATTATTGTTATTATTATTATTACTACTAATTTCTAAAAAAGAAGCAACTGACTTTCTGATACAAGTCATAATTTACAAGTATTCAAATATCTAAAGAAATGGAGACAAAAAGCTCACAGAAAATTAAAAGGGCTATGAAGCCAGCTGAACGCTGAAGCCAGCAGCTTTACAGTTCTGTCTCCCCATGGCTCTCATATTGCTGCCTTTCTTACTCTTTTATTTATTTCTCCCTTTCTTGTTCTTTCTCATTTATCTTCCTTTTTCTTTATTTATGACATTTTCCCATTGCTTATTGCATCTTCCCAGGTATTTCCAATTTTCCTTCTTTTATTTTTCAATGGATGGGCAGTCATAGCTTAGCAGTATCAGATAAGTGAGGGAAAGAAGGAAGCAAGCAAGGGGGGAGATAAAGTGGTGGGTGTGTGCACGCAAATGTGTGGCTGCGTCCATTGTGAGTTGAGTGGGAGGTAAGGATGGAGCTGGGATACATGTTTCCTGTATAGAAATTTACCTCTAATACACACATATATATATATATATACACATATATATATACACACACATATATGTGTATATATATATATATATATATATATAATTATTTTTTTATTGGTTAGGATGTTTTTGTGGGGAGGGGAGACTTTGGAAGGTCACTAAATGAAATTGTCTCCAAAAGTACTGAATTGCTACTAGCTCCTTTGGAATGCCTTCTTATTAACTATTATTATTTTATTATTATTATTAAGCCAACTCTTCCAATTCTTGTTGGAAAAACAGCCAATAGAAAACAGAACCATCTCCATCTCATACATGGAGAAGGTAAGCTGAAAGGAGTTTCAGCGACTTCCCTGTGGAATGTGACTGTTAGTCAACAGTGGTTTCTTCCTCTCCCTTAGCGTAGATCACTAGCAGCTTCATGCCTAAACTAGGGTGCATACAGGCTCTTAGACACGTATTTATATCCATACTCTTCATTGATTAAAGAGCAAGATGACTGTCTCAGGCTGAAACTGATGAGATGCCTATTCTGAATAGAGTTAGTCTAGGATACATTTATTTTAAGATCAAAACATGCATTTGGTAAATCATTTAAAAAGAAGGATGTCAGGCTGTGAGCATGAGTTAAGACTGACGCACTTTCAAACAACATTTAACCAGGATAGTTGAATAGCTGGCAGCATTGGGATTTTGTTGGTTTGCCACTTCTCTTAAGAAAATAAAAACATCCCCAAATCAGTTATTGATTCCAATAAGAATTACTGGGATTTAATATGTGCATACATTATTTTTTTTTCTTTTTTTGAGGAGTTTTGCTCTTGTTGCCCAGGTTGGAGTGCAATGGCACTGTCTCAGCTCACTGCAACTTCCGCCTCCCGGTTCAAGTGATGCTCCTGCCTCAGTTTCCCAAGTAGCTGGGATTACAGGTGTCCACCACCATGCCTGGCTAATTTTTGTATGTTTAGTAGAGATGGAGTTTCACCATGTTGGCCGGGCTAGTCTCGAACTCCTGACCTCAGGTGACCCACCCACCTCGGCCTGCCAAAGTGCTGGGATTACAGGCATGAGCCACCATGCCCAGCCTGTGTATACATTTTTTAATGACTAAAGATATAAGTATATCAAGTTTTGCACTTAAAAAATTAATCAGATACCTTTTCTGGGAATTTTTAAAGCACAAGCTAATGAGTAATGTCTTCAAGGTAAAAACTATTTTAGTTTTGGGAAATCTGTATTTTGTAAAGAAAAAATATTTGAAGGGAATAAAAGGATCTACATTAGATAGATAGCTTGAAATGCATTTACAGAATGCAAATTTAAAAAGAACAAAACCATATGGGTAACCAAAATAGAAATTTAGCTCCCTTGCAGACAAGGTCAGTTAATCAGTAAATGACTTTGTGCTATAAACAATGCTCAGTAGTACCTTTTAGATCCTAGTGTTGCTTTACCCACACATTTCCAGAGGTCACTAATTCTTTTCTTTACTTTTATATGAATATTTTTATTACGTAGAAACAGAATCACCAAGGACAAATAAGGTAGATACATTATTTTAATAGGCAATGGGTGTTAAGATAGAATTCACTGATAATGAAGTGAGATTGCAATGCAGCAAAAATTACAAGCTCTGGAGACAAAATATACTTTGAGATATCATCTGGTCAACTCCCAAGTAATATTAAACCGAAACCAAACAGTAAATTTGTAAGTGTAGCTTCTTTCCAGTGCTGTTCAAAACCCCAAACAACCTTGAACTTCAGTATCTCCATCTGTATTATGTAATAGCATTTAAAAGTAATTCAGGCTGAGCATGGTGGCTCACCCCTGTTATCCCAACACTTTGGGAAGCAGAGGCAAGGGGATGACTTGAGCCTAAGAGTTTGAAACCAGCCTGGGCAATGTAGGGAGAGACCTAGTCTCAATAAAAAGTAAAAAGTAATTCATATTCATTAAGATAATACAAAATGTGATGAAGCTCAAATAATAAAGCTATTCACAGAATAAGATTACAAAGATATTTGTGGAGTAATATCTACTATGTTCTACAACATTAAGATGGCTAATATAACAAAGAAACCAGAGGAACAAAAATAATTTGTATATTAAAATGTTTATGCTGTCAACCTGTGGTGCAAAGTAAAATTGAAGTAATCAGAAAGTATAATAATGTATTTATAACAGATATCTGACTATGTCTACCTGCTAATCTATATATTTGCATATTCTTAATATCAATTATTATTATCAACATCAATATTATCAATTATCAATATCAGTATTCTATCAGTATATGTTCTCCCCACCACTATTCAGGGAGTATCTGACAGTGTTGGCCAATCATTTCAGCTGACAGCTTGTGAAGGGATAGAGTATGTGGCAAACACAAATAGTATGCATTTACAGGAAAAACTAAGTAATATACAGAATTTAAAGATGCCTTATCCTGCAGGTCATTTTTAATACATATACTTTTTTCAGATAGAAGAGCATTCTTTTTTTTTTTTGAGATGGAGTTTTGCTCTTGTTGCCCAGGCTGGAGTGCAATGGCATGATCTCGGCCCATTGCAACCTCTGCCTCAGCCTCCTGAGTAGCTGGGATTACAGGCACGTGCCACCATGCCCAGCTAATTTTTTGTATTTTTATTAGAGATGGGGTTTCATCATATTGGCCAGGCTGATCTCAAACTCCTGACCACAGGTGATCCACCTGCCTCGGCCTCCCAAAGTACAGGGATTACAGGGGTGAGCCACTGCGCCCGGCTGGGAAGACCGTTCTTCGCACCACAAAGGCAAGGGATTCTCCTGGAAATCAGAAATGTTGAAACTGGGCTTCCAGGGCTGGTGGTTTTGCGTTGAACACAATCAATCTTCCAAGTTCCACTCATGTTTGAACTCCACACTGTTGACTGTTCTCTTGCAATAGCAGAAAAGGATGGGTTCTTTTAGAAGGATAAACTGATATAACGTCATGGCCACACAACTGATGCTGTCTTAGTCACCATATCCAGACTGGCAGATGTTCAATTTATTGGTCCACTTAAAATTTTAGTTAAAGTGAGAAACTGTGAAGTGATACATACATAACATAGATATTTTATATCAATTTGAAACATTTAATTATATATGCACTGGCCAATTTTGATGTGAGACCAAGCTCTTTTCTTTAAGTAGGGATTGAATGATTGGTGTTCTCCTTCACTTCACTCATACTTTCTATTCTGTTTGGTACTAGAAATATATTAGAAAAAAATAAGAAAAACAAATGATTTACCAATCTGAGTTGCAGACTAATCAGAGACCTGCCTTCATTTTAACTTGCTGTAACTCCCTTATATTAAAGGAGAAGTAGCAAGAAAGTTATGGTGATTTGTTTCTAGTTAGTATTCATTATGGAAGCCCAAGAGGGAAAACAAACAAACAAACAACAAAAAAAAAAAACTGACAAAACCATAAGAAATGTCATCTCTCATATTCTAATTGCCTACCACATAGTAGACCAGTAGGACATTTGATGTTGGGTGTTCAGAATTTTACATGATATTTTAGAATCTTAAATATGACAACATATTGAAAACTTGAGTAGGATCAATAACATATGTTAGGCTATAGTTTGCCTTCTTGGGAGGTACATTTTATTTACTCAGAGCTTGAGATCATACATGGGAAAGTTGCTAAATGACATAACTTACCAATTGCTTCACCCTCTTTATTGTAATACTTATACTCCAAGAATGTTCAACTTGCAACCAAGGGGTAATTTATTTGCCATACAGAAAGTAAATATTTATTGTAGCTTTACTAACCAGAAGAGATGGTCTGGTCTGTTGGCAATCTATCTGCCACATTTTTTTTTGTTTTTTTTTACTTTAAGTTCTGGATACATGTGCTGAACATGCAGGTTTGTTGCATAGGTATACATGTGTCATGGTGGTTTGCTGCACCTATCAACCCGTCATCAAGGTTTTAAGCCCCGCATGCATTAGGTATTTGTTCTAATGCTCTCCCTCCCCTTGCACTCCACCCCCCAACAGGCCTTGGTATGTGATGGTCCCCTCCCTGAGTCCATGTGTTCTCATTGTTCAGCTCCCACTTATGAGTGAGAACATGCAGTGTTTGGTTTTCTGTTCTTGTGTGAGTTTGCTGAGAATGATGGCTTCCAGCTTCATCCATATCCCTGCAAAGGACATGAACTCATTCTTTTTTATGGCTGCGTATCTGTCACACTTTAAATGGTATTTGGGTGATAGTGACTGAACCCTATTCTTCATGGCAAATTTAATATGTCAAACCACCATTGTGGTAGAGACCCCTGAAGATGTTTAAAATCTCTATAAAGATCAGATAGGGCGCAGACTAACAACTAGAGCCTACAGATCTATGGCATTTAGAGACTGTATTTTCTTTCCCAAGAAGTTTGTTTCCAAATGGTTGCATTGAGTGGACCCAGTGCCTTTACACTTCCCCATTCCATTGCAAATTGATACAACACCATAGTTCCCTGTCTCAAATAACCTTCCAGCTTTTAAGTGACCACTCATATTTAAGGTTGGCTGAGAGAAGAAAGTAAAACCTCCATGGTCTGGTAATCATGGCCTGTCATTTGTGACATGTTCCCCTTGGGCTGGATCATACATCTGTTTTTTATTTTTTATTTTTTTGAACCGGAGTCTCACTCTGTTGCCCAGGCTGGAGTGCAATGGTGCGATTTTGGCTCACTGCAACCTCCGCCTCCCAGGTTCAAGCGATTGTCCTGCCTCAGCCTCCTAAGTAGCTGGGATTACAGGTGCCCGCCACTGCGCTCATCTAATTTTTGTATTTTTATTAAAGACGAGTTTTTGCCATGTTGGCCAGGCTGGTCTCGAACTCCTGAGCTCAGGTGATCCGCCTGCCTTGGCCTCCCAAATTGCTGGGATTACTGGCGTGAGCCACTGCGCCCGGCCACAAGATGCAACCACAGTTTTGAAATTCAATGAAAACTTAAAAGTTACTAGTTGAAGTTAACCTCAGGTTTGGTAAAGGTATTAACTGTTCTGTTCTATATCCTCATTTTCTTTTTGTATTTTTTCTCCAGCAAACAGATTATTTTTATGTATATTTTAAGAATAACCAACTGAGAATGGAATTGGAAAATATTTCTGCTTCTGAAATACTGTCAAGATCAAAAGCACTGTGTTGAGTTTTTTCTTAAATGAGAAATTTTACACACTTCTATACTTCATATTAGGAAGGGAACAAGGTCAAAGAATTTTTCTACTTAACTGAACACTTTGATCTTTGGTCAAAAATATCTAAAATCTAAAAAAATTTTCTGATAAATGCTAGACCTGTAGCAGCACTAAGATCACTGGTTTATATTAGATTTGATTTTACTGCAGCTTAGCTATTGCAATTTAAAGCTGAGCTTTTAGTTTTTTTGTTTGTATTAAAAATCTTATAGTTTGTTCACCCAAGAGCTCTTATATTATTATATGGCAGTTATATTTTGATATGTTTTTCCCAGAATCTAATGACACTGATGGTTTCATTTAAAAGCTGTAAAAATTATACTAAATTAACCATATAAAAATATACTTCAAATTTCCATTAGCAGCATAAAGCTGCTACAATGTACAACTCTAAAACTGTTTCAGTTTAAAGCATTCTTTATATATATATAAAAAGGATATTTAAAACACTAAAATTACTTTAGAGCTTTAAAAAATATATTATTTTGTAGGCTATATCCTTAGAGATTCTGATACACTTGATCTGAATTGGACCCAGACACCCCAATTGTTTAAAATCTTCCCTCAGATAATTTTTATGTGCACTGCAGACATTAGTATAATATAGTGACTGGCATGAAAATCAATATTTCCCAAAATATATTCCATAAAACACAAGTCTTTTGAGATGATTTGCAAAGAAAAGTTTCATAAGGAAGTATGTAAGGGATTCTCTGTATATTTTCCTTTCTTGAGTTTTAACATTTCTAAATATGAAGACTCTGGGAAGTCCTGCAGAGGGGGAAATTAAAAAAAAGAAACTTTATCTTGTTTTAACCTATAGTATTTCACATGTATTTCATTCTGGACAACTTTTGATCATGTGCAATCTCTAATTAGGCCATGAAGCCTATTTTTCCAAGAATGTTGTATGAGGCCATTCTTGAATTGCTGTAAGAAATAACTGAGACTGGATAATTTATAAGAAAAGAGGTTTAATTGGCTCATGGTCCTGCAGGCTATACAGGAAGCATAGCAGCATCTGCTTCTAAGGAGGCCTCAGGGAGCTTTTACTCATGGCAGAAAGTGAACCAGGAGCAGGCAGTTCACATGGTGAAAGCAGGAGCAAGAGAGAGAGAGAGAGTGGGGGATGGAGTGGAAGGTGCCACACACTTTTAAATAACTACATTTTTCTTTTGAGAACTCACTATCATGGAAACAGCACCAAGTTGTCAGATATCTGCGCCCATTATTGGAACACTTCCCTCTCAGTCCCCACCTCCAACATTGGGGATTGCAATTCAGCATGTGATCTGGGCAGAGACAAATATACAAACTATATCAAATGTCTTTGAGAAATGCTACTAAATGAAATTTGACAGGATTTAAAGTGTTATTCACATTACTACCAATTTTTAATGCAATATAATGCTTTTGAGAATGTGCAACATTCAAAACTGAAAATTAATTTTTGGTTTAGGCCTGTGAATGAAATATTGGTATTACCTAACATGGCATTCAGAAATGAAATACCAAGGATTTACACAATTTTTGTGTGTTCTTTATTGGATGAAATAATTAGAAAGAAAGCAAAAATATGCAAAACAAATGATCTGTTTCAGTTATTTAGGTGGCAATTTATATGAAGCTAAACTACTAAAAGTGCTCTTGTTCAGGCATTATTAAATATCTGCTGAATTAAAATTTGCAAGTAAATGCTTTTTGTTGGTGAGTGATCTTTTTCATATCACAAAACCCCAAAACAGACTGGTATAAAAAACAAATTACAAATGCGATTGTTGCCTTTAATTGTAGAATGAAACCTAACATAGTGCTTAGGGGACAGAAGACTTTTCAAGATTGGTTACTTGGTATTTAATTTAATTTAATATGCTTAAAGCAATTTGAATTACATTTAATTTGTTTTTTCTTCCATTACAAAAAACATTAGAGCAGTCTGGATATAGGGGTACAGATAGGGTCAAAATCTAAGAAAGGATGCATTTCCATAGTATTGGAAATGTTATTTTTTAAGGGCAAAGTAGTGTTTGTTTTACATTACTGAAAAGAGGAGAAAGAAGGGTGAGAGATGATTTACTAACCAGCATTTTTTTAAGTCATACGGGCTAGCCAGTAAGCTAGGCATATTATGTACATTATCCCATTTATTACAAGAGATTGTCTTCAAATCTTCTTATACTTTCAGAAAAGACAGTCTGTTTTTTTGGCATGAAAAAAATTGTGATAATTAACTCTTACATACTATATGAATATTCACACCATATACTCACTTCCCCATGTTTCTTCCTTCGTTCATCCCTTCCTCTCTTGTTCCTATTTTTCCTTCCTTTTTGGAAAATAGCCCTGTGCAATTCACTCAGTAAGTTTCCTTGAAAATGTCTGCAAGTGAATAAAGAACTACGCTTCCACAAGTTCTGTGTGGAAAGAGAATTCCCTTGCATTTGTTTCCCACTGAGCATCAGTCTTCTCCCTGAGCTTCTGTTGCACATTAGTTTATTGTTGCACCTTACTCCTAAATGCATGTGAAGAGCACTTTACCTTAAATGATAATAAATTGCCATAGTAGGACTGTCAGAAGCAGTCGGTTTCTCCCACCCCCATATTTAATGATGCAAGGCAAAAAAAACTTTATATGCTTGGTTTCAAGTATGTAGATGATCTCAAATTGTGCACTTGGGTTGCTTTTCATATTTGTTTCACCTTGGTTTGTTCGTGGCACTGTCACCTGTGTACCAATTAGTACACTGGACATCTGCCAAGAAGGAGCTGAAATAAAACCATCAGCTCATTTTTTCTTGGCACCAAGGTCACTGCTAAGCTGTATTTAACCTGGAGCTAGAGGCTAAAGACATTGTTTAGTGAAGGAGTAGTAAAATGCAGAAGCCTTATAATAAAGAGAGAATGTGCAGACACTTATTAAAATTTTTCACTCTTCTCATGGAAAATAGTGGAAACCTATGATAAATATTTCAGAATTATGGCAACCACTATAGCATACAAAGTACACATTATAGATTTTTCCAGCATAATTAAACCCACCACTCACATTAGGAAGCTGCTTATATCACTCTGTTGTTCCTTATAGTCAAATAAATGAGGACACCCATGTCATATGGCTGGAGATGGTGTGCTTACTTGGTGGAAACTGGGTTGAGAAAGAAGGTACTAGTTAGGGTTGATAATATTCAAATGAAAAAGGCCAGGATCAGTCATGGTGATACTGAAGCTTAAAGCAAAAGCAAAAATCAGTAATAGTGATCCCATCTTAATTCTGACATTTTGCTCATTATGAATTTTCTATGATAACTAGTTTTTTAATGTTATAAAAATATTATTTATCTTGATTACTGAGTATTTTGGTGCTAGTTAAATTTTGTACTATCCTAGCTCTAGCTTTACAAGCTAACATAAACTAAGAGCAAAAGATGCCTGAAAATTATAGTGAAACAAAAATCACCATATTGACCCATATTTCACAGAAATAAATAGTGGATCTCCACATTTCATCATTACTAGCTTTTAAGATTTTTTTAAATAATCATAAGTTTGGGCAGTGTAGTTATTAGCATCATGGAAGTCAGTAATAGGTTGACTTATAAACAAAATTACATGAAGAGAGGGATGAAAGACAAAAAGAAGAGATTTTTTTTATATTTAAACAGGAGCTCATATCTTAGGCGGATTCCTCTCACTTGTTAGTCCACTCTATTTGTAAATTGGGGAGACATTTTCATCGTTTCTATTTTAAAGAAGGGAGAAAGCTTAAGTTCTGGCAGAAGGGAAGACATTGGTAAAAATGGAGACTGACTATGGAAGGAATTAATTGATTCTTTTCATCTTCGTTAGAATCAAAATGAATGGAAAAATAATCTGATTTACACGAACTCTTGCTTGCTCAGACATCTAGCTATGAAATAAGGACTCAGCCTTAGCTGAACTCTGAGCTCCCATATCAGAGTTTCAAATGCTGTTTTACCCCCTTGTAATTGTTAATATATTCCTAGTGTTAATATGTTTCTAGGTTCCAAGAAAAGGGAAAACCCTCCTGTGGTCAGCTTGTCATTTGGCTTTCCTGTAACTGCCAACTTAAAAATAAATAGACAAACAAATGTAGTCCATTTAATTTAAAATGTTATATTTATTAAAATGTTCAAATATATTTTTCTCATCTGAATCACTTTACAAAACCTAAGTAGACATATCCACAGGAAAAGACGTATTATCTTGATATTCATCAGGGATTATGCACTTTATCCTCTTTTTGAAATTGCTTTCTTGAATGACATCAACATGACACATTTTCTCTTTTTGGTTAGCTCCTCTGCAAATGAATTATTGGCTGATACATAATTACCAGCAAAGGTGCACATATGTGTGAGCATCTGTGTGTATGTGTGTACATATGTGCTTGTCTGCATATGTGTGTGTATGTGTGTCTAAGTATTGTACTTACCTAGAATGACCTTGCTTATATTGGGATTAGAAATTGGAGATTCATATGCTTGTTTATTCCCTCATTAGACAGTAGATTACTAATGGATAAGAATTGTGTCTTAATTTTCATTGTATCCATGGCTCTTAATTAGTTTGGTGCCTGCCATATATTATTGTTTAAGATGAACTCATCTCAAAAATGATGCCTTGCTGCTACTCTTCCTGTATTGCGGATCCTCTAATAGTGGAGAGTTACTTGCAAGCAGTGAGCCTGGAAAAAGGTGGCAATATACAGGAAGAGCAAAATAAGGCTCGGAAAAAAGGGCAAAAGACAATTCTTTTGGCAACCGTCTCGGAGCTTGGATGTAAGCTGGAGGAAGTTCAGAGCAGGTGGAAACCAACTCAACTTGAAAAAGCTACACTGCAGAAGAGACACTTGAGCTAGGTCTTCAAGCACACTAATCCTCACATGTCCTTATATTCCTCTCCCCATCTACACCACCATCTCAACTTTGGGACTATTTGTCAAAACACTTTTCAAGTTCCCCTGCTTTCAGAACATCCTCCCTGATAACATAAGTCAATATTTATTTTCTATTTTCTTAACAGATGATACTCCTTACTCTTTATAGCATAAATGATTGCACCTGACTCTGCTCAGTTCATGTCTTCTTTGCCATCTTCCTCATTTCATGGTTTGTCTCCTTATTAAGATCACAAGGTCCTGGTGGATAGAAAATATATATTATTTCTGTACTCATCACAGTGACTTGGCAGTCTTGAAAGTAAAAAAATTTAAGAAGGTGTAGCATTAAACTAGTTGTAAGTTATTATGTTTTTCCTTTGCACTAAAGTTGCTAGATATTTAGGCTTCTAGGAATGAGGAGAATGTTGTAATTTGAAAGGTACACATATCATTTATGCAAATTAAACTGTATCAGAGTCCCAACTGAAAAAGATGACACACTCAACAAAGGGGGCTTCTCTCCAAAGGGATTACTTACTAAAGTGTAATAATAATGATTCTAATAATAGTGAAGGAGATTTTCCAGTCTAAGAGACAATGGTAGAACTCTGAATAAGAGTTCCCTGTAGAAAAGTCTTCTAAAGAGTAGTGAGTTTTGGTCAAAATACAGAGCCAGGCATAGATAATCCCAGAGCAAGGGAGTCAGGGAAGTACATACAGATAGTATCGAGAACTGTTTACCTAACAAAAAGCTTTCTCAGATAATTAAAAAGAAAAAAAAAAAGAAAGCCTTAATGGAAACAAATTAGTTTTAATGCTCAGGATGTTGTAAACCATCAAGGGTCATCCCTACCTGAGTTTCAATATGCTTTAGGTCTAGCTTGTAGACATATTAAAGAACAATAAGTAATGAATGGAGCCAAATAATTCCAATTCACTAATCATTTAGCCAAGAAATATCTTGGGTTTTACTTAATTCAGCTTAACTGACTATACTTCCAGGTCTGATTTTGAAGTTAAAGGTTTAAGTCTTGCTTCCTTGAGGTATTCTGAGTGGGCTTAGGTTTTTTCAATATCTAAAATACTGAGTTTGCTAACTTTGAGGTGTTTGCAGAGTCTACCATAGAGAAACACAGTGATCTTGATTTAAACTTGCTTTCAACTACAAAACCTTCAGTAAATAACTGGATTTATATGGGTTTTCTTTTGTTTTGTTTTTTTTAATTTGTGGTGTGTGTATGTATGTGTGTAAACATGTTCCTCCCCATCAGATAAGATTAAGAAAGACTGCACATATCTGTTCCCTCTTTGGTGGCTTTCTTACATTATATTTAACAAAATATTCTATCACGTCTTATTGGGTAATGAGAATCTTATTCAAGGAATGTTGCCTTTAGTTTAGCAATATGCCTGTTGAATTGTCAATCTGTATTTGGACTTTAGCCAAATTTAGGTTGGTAATTACATATGAATCAGACAAGATGCCCCCAAACAGCGACTGGTTTACCGACTTCTAATACTGCTGCATAAACCCATGGGTGTTCATTAAGTGTTAATTAATGATGGAATGCTAGGTTGAATTGACTTGTGGATTCTGGCTGATTACTCTTTAATTTAAAATTATGAAATGCACAGCATCAATCTATCAGCAGGAAAGATCAAATTTTAATTTAATGAGGGTGTCTAGAAAATTGTAGAGCTATAGGAATTCAAAGAATTAGTTATTTGTACTAGATATGAAAGATCATGTTACAGGATCCTTGGGGTGTCCCTTTTCTGGCCTGAAACCTCTGGCCAGTGGCACCTTTGCCTGAGTGTTGCTCAGGCCCGCTGGGCTTTTTCCTCCTACTTGGCCTGGCAGGCTACATTCGGCTGACACTACTGGCCTGGATCCCACGCCTGCCAAGGGAGAGTCAGGCATGGAGTGTGTGAGTGAGCATGGGGTCCGGCCACTGCATAGTCAGACACACTGGCTGCTGCAACGGGACCTGCAGCTCCAGGTGCCGGCACAGGCACTGGCTCTCAGCCAGGCTGCGGCTAGACCAGGTGCACTGCAAGCAGCTTCACTGGCTGGCACCGGGGAACGCAGTGGTGCCCAGAAGCTTGAAAACGTCAGGTACCACAGGACCCCAAAGAGGGAGTCACAGCCCTGGCCTGGGGAACTCCCAAGTCTGAGCTCCCTGAGGGACCACGGTTCTTTTCTCCTCTTTGCCTGCAACGTGGAGAGCTAAGGGGCATGTTTCAGCCCTGTGTTGTAGCTCTTTTAGCTCTGCCATTCAGCAGGCTCCAAGTTCTTGTCCTGCGACCAAGAACTCAGACAAGTGGAGGGCAAGCAAAATGAAGAGGAGCTTTGTTGAGCAATAGAACAGTTCACAATAGACCCACAGCGGGTAGCTCCTTTCCACAGTCAGGGTGTCCCAACGAGTGTTCAGCTCCTAGCAGAGAGGAGAACCTGGAGTGGGAAGCTCCTCTCTGTAGACAGGTCGTCCCGTCATGTCTGCAGTTCTCAGCAGACAGGAGGCCCTGGAGTGTGTTGCTCCTCTCTGCAGCTGTTCGCCCTACAACTCCTGCTATTAGCAGAGAGAGTAGCTCCTCTCTGCAGGCAGGTCAACCCATCATCTGCTCAGCTCTGGCTGAGCCCAAGGGTTTCATGGGCCTCAGAGGGTTGGAAGTGCACACAACTGGTCCGTGGGCTGCCATGGGCAGCCCAGAAAAGGCTTCACAAGTTCCCACTCCTGTCCCTCGGTGAGACTGGCTACCTGGCCCCCAGCCTTCAGGTCATCCCCGGCCTGAAGGTGGGGCCTCACCCGAGACCCACCCCCTCCCATCCAGGAATCTGTCTGCCTCCCACTGGCTTTCATGGTGCCCTGCTCCACCCTGACTTTGCTCTGAGATCGGAGTGGACACTGGCAGGAGGGAGAAGCTAGGCAGCAGGGGCAGGCATTTCCGAGCCTGTGAGGGCAGGAGGGCCTTCCTGGGTCCTCAAGAGTACAGGAATGCCTGAGTCTGCAGCTGCAGTTTGGATGGCTGCAGCTGCACCTGCACCCAGGAGGGCGGGGCTCCTGCCTGCTCCACAGAGCAAGAGGCCTGGGTCTGCAGCCTGGTTTGGGTGGCTGCAGTGAAATCTGGGGAGCTCCCGCCCTAACTCGAATGGGGTGGGGCTCCCACTTGTACCGGGCTCCACTTGTCCCTGGCTCCTGCCGGCTTGTGCAGCTCTGGCAGTGCCTCCCTGCTACAACCTGCATGATGGCAGTGGCAGGCTGTCTGGAGCGGCCACTGCCATCAATAATACATAACCAAAAAAAAGAAAAAAAAAATTAAAACAATGAAAAAGTCCTGGCAACATTTTCTAGACACTCTAGCTTGCCTTTGTTTCTGTTTAATTTTAAAGAGTTTTAATTTAAATCAATTTTCTCAATTTCATGTAAAAAATGGGTGACTTTTAAAAGTTTTATCGTATTTGCTGATAAGTGGATGCTTATGAGAACATTGAAGACATTGTGCCTTATTTTGCTAAGGACAGTCACCATTTTTTAAGGTTTGGGAAGTCATTGAAGACTATTTTGAGAGGTGGAAAGGAGTTCCTGAAATGGTTTAAGATTTTTCAGCTTTGTGATGATTCCCTAAATTATTCTCATTTGTTGTAATTTTTAAACATAAGACTACAACAATATGCTTTTAGCCACCTGCAAATGATTATTGGGAGTCACAGTTTTAAGGAGGAAATTCAGATTTTTATCCACTTACTTAATATTATCTAAAATTAGCATACAAGCATTTGTATTAAGAAGCAGATACAGGTTAACATTCTTTATAAGAACTTCTATGTCTACAGTCAGTTTGGGAATAACTTGTGGCCTTCTGGCCTCCACTCCTTTTGTAGGGTCTTAAAATTACTTGTAATTAGAATAGGTGAGTCCCATTACAATTAGGTGAGACCCCCTAATTCTAGAAACAGATTGAAGAATTAACAGGGTGAGCATTATTTTCAACATATGTTGAAGGAAGAGTTTACTTGATGAAATCATAGTTGATTTGAAATATGTTTATATCAAATGAGTTAAGAAAATATCCCCAAGTATCCTTAGCTGTGGAAGTGATAATGGTCCTGAAATACCAATATTTTTCTCCATATTAGATTTTTGAAACATTATACAAATGATGTATGTTCTATGAAGCAGCGTGCCTTTATCTAAATGGTGGAGTTTAAATTCCAGGCCCATAAGAAAAATTTCACATCCTGCTCTCCCACACATATACACTGGAGCTCACAAAATCCAGAAAATTCAGACATAAACTGTGGGAGAAAAAGCACAATGGACGGTTAAGCTGTTGTGATTGCAAACCAATTGTAATTGCTTAAGATAAAAAAAATTTAAACCCAAATTAGAGTTTTTCTTATTTTTACACTACTACAATAATCAGTAGCTGTCATTTGCTGGGTGGAATAATTTAGTTTTGTGCTATCATAGTATTTTATTTCAAAATATCACTTCTTTTGTGTATACCCAAACACATTCTCTAAAATTGCTGCTATGTAAAATTGGGTAATTAGCATCCATAGCAGTTAACACTAAGAGATACTGTATGAAGAAAGTTGTTCCAATTAAATAACGTTGCCAATAATCTCTTATTCAGTAAATATTAAAACTTGTTTTAAAATAAAAATAGTAAAATTTAACTTTGAAAATGATTTATGAGTTTAACCACCTTCCTTCCTTATTTTGCCCCCAGGTAGAGTTGTAAAGAAAACTGCTCAATGCTATTTTTTTTTCTTTCAATAATTCTTTTCTAGATGTTTTCTGTATTTGTAAAGTAACATACTTTGGGGTGAAAGCGATTATATGGATTGTCGAACCTTATTAAAGATCCTGAGAAGAGTGAAAAATTTTTTGCATAGCTTTAAAAAATTATGGATGAGTCTTTAAACCTCATCTCTCCTACATTATCAATTTTTCCCTCTCCAATGAATAATTCCCATGAACATATAAACATTCCTTAATATTTCTCATTTTAAACCTCCTTGTACCACAACTCACCCATCCAGCCATTGCTGCCCCCATTTCTCTACTCCTTAATACATTAAAATGCCTGAAAGATTTGTTTAGACTGGCCTTTTCTGTTTGCTTCCCTCTGTAATCTTATGAACACATTCCAGGCAGAATTTCATTTGTGCTGATCTGTTGGATTGAAACAGCTCCTGTAAAGTTGTTCAAAAAACTTCCTCATTCCCTAATCCAGTTACCTACATCTAGTTGCCTAATCTAATGACCTCCATTTTCCCTAATCTTGTAGTCTATATTCACACACTTTTCATCTTATTTGACTTGTCAACAGCATTTGACTTGATGATCTCCATTTTTATTCAGCCTCTCTTGTTTCTTTCTTTGCCTTACTAAATTTTCTTCACCATAGCTACAGTATTACCTGGGGATCTCATTTAGGTCCCTGTCTTTAAATATCATCTCATTGGTGACTTCCAAATGTATGCCTTTGGTCTAGACCTCTCCCGTAAACTCCAGCCTTTGTTTTATTCACTGCTGTATCCTCAGAACTAGAATAGTGACTGGCATAACAACAGGTGTTCAATAAATGTGTTGAATAAATGAATGAATGCTCTGCTTTACCTCCTAGGGTTCTTGTAAAAACCAAATGAATCAAAGGATATAAAAGTAATTTGTAAACTGTAGATCACCCAGCAAGTGTCATCTGATATTATGAGTCTTGCAGATTTGTAATATTAATAAACAATAAAATGAGTAAGTTCTGAGGGAATTTTTAAAATGGATTTGAACATTTTAATCCAGATTTCAAAAGTGGCACGTCTCTCTGAATTCAATGTCCTATTTAACTCATCAAACTCTAGGCATCAGGGAAAGAGGTATAATGAATCTGTATTCCAATGCAAAGAGAAATACCTTAATGTTTGCTTTGATATAAGTATGGTATCTTCAATACATGAAGCTCACAAATTTGCCAGACTCAGTCATCTCAACATGAATGACATGTCCTTGCAGAACTAGTTGCAGGGTTAATCATTTACAATGCAAATAGGCATTTAGATAAGTTATATGATCCATAGCTTTAAAGCTTAGTACTTTCTGGCTGAATGGCTGTCACTGAAGGAATAAGACATGAATACAAGCTAATAGGATGAGTGTGGTTGAAATACATGAATTCTAAAATTTATAGCCTCTACCTGCTATAGCGAATTATCTTATAAGAGTAGTGGTTCTCAAACTTTATGATGCATCGGGATCACCCAGCAGGCATCTTAAAAGCACAGATTGCAGGGTCCCATTGCCATTTTGATTCAGTTAGTGTGGAATGAGGTCCAAGAATTCCCATTTCTAACAAGTTTCCGGGTGCTGCCGAGGTTATTTGCTGTCATCTTAGACGTATACACTGAAGTTTTCATCACATTTTAAGTAACCCTGCAATAGAGGGTTTATCACCATGTTTATAGGGAATATAAAGTTCAATATAATTTCACATTTCTTCCCCTATGTGAAGAATCTTTGGCCCTTTATCAACTTATTGAGACCTTCTTGTTTTTAACTTTCATGACCATTAGGAATGCCTATACTTCTCACCAATTTTCCTCAGTATTCAAGTCAACCATACCGTTAGAGGACATCCTGATAGAAAATGCCTTTAGTTTTAAGTTCATTTGTAAGTCAACAAACTCCCTGTCTTGCTCCTAAAGAAGTGGTATTCCATTTGCTACCTGTTGTGGATTATTGCACCAGGATTTGCTTTCTCTTGTAATTCTAGTCTGTATCAGCATTGGTGGAGGAACACTGATCTGAACATAAATACCATCTCTCATAGCAGCCTTCCTCCTATGTCAATCAGATATTTTGACATGAATCTCCCAACCTAAACCAAACTAAATTAGAAGAGGATATAAATTCTAGATACTTTAGCTCTGCCAAGAAAATGTTCTACCTTTATTTCTTGGAAGATTCTATCAGAAGAATGTAATTACATACTGTGAAGGAAGTAACTAGATTCTGAATCTCTGACAAAAGTGGAAGTCAGAATATACTGTTGGACTTAAATTGTTAACTTCCCAGTGTAATCTGGGAAACAAGTATTCAAAACATAATACATTATATCATTCTTATCTTTGACATGCTCAGCACAAATAGCACACTTTTGAAGGAATAAGTCCAAGAAATGCGAAAAATAGTGAAATATAAACTTAGCCTATTTGAGATTTTAAAAGTTTCATAAATCACTGAAAAGTAAATGTATCACAATTATACTTTTTTAAAAACATGACCAAAATAAAAGTCAATATTTACTTGAAAGATAAATCAGTCATCACTTTCTTATTTATTTATTTATACTTTAAGTTATGGGATACATGTGCGGAATGTGCAGGTTTGTTACATAGGTATACACGTGCCATGGTGGTTTGCCGCACCCATCAACCTGTCATCTGCATTAGGTATTGCTCTTAATGCTATCCCTCCCCTAGCCCCCCACGCCCCAATAAGCCCCAGTGTGTGATATTCCCCTCCCTGTATTCATGTGTTCTCGTCGTTCAACTCCCACTTATGAGTGAGAACACGTGGTGTTTGATTTTCTGTTCCTGTGTTAGTCTGCTGAGAATGATGGTTTCCAGCTTCATCTAGGTCCCTGCAAAGGAAATGAACTCATCCTTTTTTATGGCTGCATAGTATTCCATGCTGTATATGTGCCACATTTTCTTTATCCAGTCTATCATTGATGGGCATTTGGGTTGGTTCCAAGTCTTTCCTATTGTGAATAGTGCTGCAGTAAACATACGTGTGCATGTGTCTTTATAGCAGAATGATTTATAATCCTTTGGGTATATACCCAGTAATGGGGTTGCTGGGTCAAACGGCATTTCTGGTTCTAGATCCTGGAGGAATCAACACACTGTCTTCCACAACAGTTGAACTAATTTACACTCCCACCAACAGTGTAAAATTGTTCCTATTTCTCTACATCCTCTCTAGCATCTGTTGTTTCCTGACTTTTAATGATCGCCATTCTAACTGGTGTGAGATGGTATCTATTGTGGTTTTGATTTGCATTTCTCTAATGACCAGTGATGATGAGCTTTTTTTCATGTTTGTTGGCCGCATAAATGTCTTCTTTTGAGAAGTGTCTGTTCGTGTCCTTCACCACTTTTTGGTGGGGTTGTTTTTTCTCTTGTAGTTTATTTAAGTTCCTTGTAGCTTCTGGATATTAGCCCTTCATCAGATGGATAGATTGCAAAAATTTTCTCCCATTCTGTAGGTTGCATGTTCACTCTGATGATAGCTTCTTCACCTGGTCCAGAGCTGAGTTCAAGTTCTGAATATCCTTGTTAATTTTCGACCAGGTGAACTTAATACACATCTACAGAACTCTCCATCCCACTAAAGTTGGGGAAAGTAATACTTAAAAAAATAAATAAATAAATAAGAGCTTATAGTTGTATGAGTGAAAATTATTAACTCTGTATTCTAAATGACAATTAAATGACATAAATTTCCAGTATTTTTCTGTAGTCTGTAATAAAATGGATAGTAGAACAGTCTAGTTTTCAACTGATTTGCAGTTGGGAATGAGGAAACAATTCACCCTGGAAGTTATTAACAGCATCTGAGTATTCACTGAAATGTCCTCAGTTCTCTACTGTGAACTTGTCTTGGAAACTAACTCAAATGTCTGTGACAGCAGTTTCCTTTGTGCAACTGCAACTTGTTTAAAAATTTAAATGCAAACAAATAATTCACTGCAATATTTAAATAATTATTTATTGGAGATGATGCACATATCTTCTAAGAAAGACATCACTTCTTTTTTTTATTTTATTATTATTATACTTTAAGTTTTAGGGTACATGTGCACGATGTGCAGGTTAGTTACATATGTATACATGTGCCATATTGGTGTGCTGCACCCATTAACTCGTCATTTAGCAGTAGGTATACCTCCTAATGCTATCCTTCCCCCCTCCCTCCACCCCACAACAGTCCCCAAAGTGTGATGTTCCCCTTCCTGTGTCCATGTGTTCTCATTGTTCAATTCCCACCTATGAGTGAGAACATGCAGTGTTTGGTTTTTTGTCCTTGCAATAGATTACTGAGAATGATGATTTCCAATTTCATCCATGTCCCTACAAAGGACATGAACTCATCATTTTTTATGGCTGCATAGTATTCCATGGTGTATATGTGCCACATTTTCTTAATCCAGTCTATCATTGTTGAACATCTGGGTTGGTTCCAAGTCTTTGCTATTGTGAATAGTGCCGCAATAAACATACGTGTGCATGTGTCTTTATAGCAGCATGATTTATAGTCCTTTGGGTATATACCCAGTAATGGGATGGCTGGGTCAAATGGTATTTCTAGTTCTAGATCCCTGAGGAATCGCCACACTGACTTCCACAATGGTTGAACTAGTTTACAGTCCCACCAACAGTGTAAAAGTGTTCCTATTTCTCCACATCCTCTCCAACATCTGTTGTTTCCTGACTTTTTAATGATTGCCATTCTAACTGGTGTGAGATGGTATCTCACTGTGGTTTTGATTTGCATTTCTCTGATGGCCAGTGATGTTGGCATTTTTTCATGTGTTTTTTGGCTGCATAAATGTCTTCTTTTGAGAAGTGAAGAAAGACATCACTTCTAAGAAACTGTTTGTTTTTTAGTTCACAATTTTATTGACAACTTACATTTATTTTCTTCAAAAGAAAAATAGCAAAAGCCTACTTTGGTGGCTATTTTTGGAACTTTTCACACAATAAGTACAATAAAATGTTTCTTAGAGTATAATTTTTAGAAAAGTAATGCACATAGGAACAACCTTTAATGCACGTAATAGTAGCAATCTTTTTGTCACTAAGAAAGTCCTAGTTACCTGACGTAGTCTGGGCTTTGAGCAACATAGGTCTCATGTCCCAAATCTTCCATTGAGGACACTCAATGGAATAAATACATAGTAGAGCATCCGAGACAATACATTTATTATAAAATGATGCATGGTTAACATCTGGAAATTATAGAAAAGTACAAAAGGAGAGCAAAAAATCTCCCAATCTTAGCAATCAGAGATAGTTATTGTTAAAATTATTGTGTATTTCAATCTAGTATCTTATTTTTCTAACTTTCCACCTATATACAAATTGAGATAATATCATACATAAAATTTATATATCTACTTTTATATAATAAAAACTCATATTAATAAACTTCAAAATCATGTTTTAGTGACTGCATCATAAGGAATATTATCCATATGTCTATAAGCAATGAGCATGTTGGTATCATTTGCTTACTTAGTATACTATTTTTAATATTCCTCTCAAAAAATTAAGAATTATTTTCAAATGTATTTATTAAAAGTATAATTTTTGAAATTATTATTTTGTAATTACTAAAAGTGTCAATGTTTTCATACAGTTAATGGATATTTACATTTCATTTTAGAATTAACTATGCATTATTTTATGTTGATTTCTTTAACCTACCTTTTAATTTTTTATTACACATTTCTTAGTCTATTAAATCCATTAAGCTTTTCTTAATCTAACTTTTAATTTTTGTAAAAGTTGATCATGTCAAGCATCTATTTAAGAGAATCTATTTTATTTTTAAGAAAGAAAAATTTATGTCAAATCCAAATATATAGCATATCTCAACAAAATGTACAAATACCTTCAATTAGATATAAACAAGTAAAATTGAATGATGTGGCCAACTTAGTTAACAAAATCATAAATGGTTGATGTGTCAACAGTAGCACTAAAGCATTGCTACCAACAAGAGTTAACATCTAAAAGTTGTATACTACTTTCCGACATGTGTTATTTAAAATGCGAACAAATCTAGTATCATTTAAAGTAGTAGTATTTAAAGATTACAACTGCATAAGATATTTATGTCCATGCAGAAATGAAGAAAGTAGAATGTGTACTTGTTCACGTAACATGAATATAATGTGATATAATACACACACATATCACATATGGATTGAAGACTGGGAAACTCTCACCACTCCAGTGATAATTAGATCTCAACATTGCTTTTAAAAATTTCACCTCTTGAAAGAATTTTTTATTCGAAATGGTTAAATAGATCATTAAGTCCCGTAAAGGGCTAACGAAGAAAGTGAATCTTGAGCCACATGATTGAAAGTCAAAATTCTGAGTTTATTCATTTATCAAATCATATCTTTGGTAAGTTATTTTTAAGCCCCTTCACTTGCAAGGCAGTGCCAGGCTCTTAGAACTGAGGGGTTATGCATTAGAACAGATGGCACTTTCAGTTAGAAATCACCTATTTTTAGTACAGAGTATCTAGTTCATATCTATAGAAATTATATCTACATAATTGTTTAGCCACACCCTTAGTAATAAGTCTATATTTACACAAAGAATCATACAAAAACTTTTTCTCAATCATGCCCCACCCCTTGCCGTTAAAATGAGGAATGAAGGTCTAGATCCATAGATGAAATTCACAGATGGGATTTTGTATCTGTGATTGGCAGTCTAAATGAGATTCAGGGTCAGACACGCAGCACCACTGGCAGAGATAAAGCATCAAATGAAAAGTCAGGGGATAATGGCCAGTTGTGCATATCATTCTTTTTCCTCTGCTTTCAGGCAGATACACACTGTAGCGGCTGCCACTCACTCTAATTACTAGACCTGGAGTGACACAGCAGGATATTGCTCTCTGAATTGCTAAGCATCCTTCAGGCAAAGACAATAATTACAATATTCTGATTTCAAAATGATAATATTTTGGGCCCGATACTGTGGTATAAGTGGATCAGAATACAAAATTGATTTTTAGAACTGCGCCATGCTAAATGAAGCATCTTTTTATTGTGCCATTTAGTTACTTCTGCCACTTATATGTCATACAGCCATGTATATGCATATTAACGTATGGTATGTTTACATGTGCGGTATGTAATTTTAATGTGCTTTGGTGTGCATATGTGTATCAAGAAAGATAACACTTTTAGAACATCCCTGTTACTATTGACTAATTGTTCTCAAACACTTATTAGATTTAATATCTCTGGGATCGATTAATGTAATATGTACTTTTTGCATAGGTAAGGGTGAGAGACAATTAAATGACATAAATTTAATATTTACAACATTTCTACTTTTGCCTAACACAGTGCTAGTATTTTTATTGCTTTATTTTGTTGAATTCTCACAAAAATTGACTAAGTATATATAATTGTCTCTAAAGCATGATCAAGATGACTAAGTTTCAGACTCCTCCCTTATACCATATACAAAAATCAACTCCAGATGGATTAAAGACTTAAATATAAAACTCAAAATTATAAAAACCCTGGAAGACAACCTAGGCAATACCATTCAGGACATAGACACAGGCAAAGATTTCATGATGAAAATGCCAAAAGCAATTTCAAGAAAAGCAAATATTGACAAATGGGATCTAATTAAACCAAAGAACTTCTGCACAGCAAAAGAAACT
The DNA here is from genome assembly GCF_000001405.40 of Homo sapiens. NCBI lineage: Eukaryota > Metazoa > Chordata > Mammalia > Primates > Hominidae > Homo > Homo sapiens. The sequence continues at coordinate 85,920,574 of NC_000004.12, forward strand.
ACCAACAGAGTGAACAGACAGCCTACAGAATGGGAGAAAATTTTTGCATGCATCTGACAAAGTTCTAATATCTAGCATCTATGAGGAACTTAAACAAATTCACAAGAAAAAAACAGCCCCATTAAAAAGTGGTCAAAGGAAATGAACACACACTTTTCAAAAGAAGACATACATGTGGCAAACAATCATATGAAAAAAAGCTCAACATCATTGATCGTTAGAGAAATGCAAATCAAAACCACAATAAGATACCATCTCACACCAGTCAGAATGGCTATTATTAAAAAGTCAAAAAATAATAATAACAAATGCTGGCAAGGTTGTGGAGAAACAGGAACACTTATACACTGTTGGTGGGCATATAAATTAGTTCAACAATGTGGAAGACAGAGTGTTGATTCCTCAAAGACCTAAAGACAGAAATACCATCTGACCAAGCAATCCCATTATTGGGTATATACCCAAAGGAATATAAGTCATTCTATTATAAAGATACATGCACACATATGTGCATTTCAACATTATTCACAATAGTGAAGACATGGAATCAAACCAAATGCCCATCAAATGACAGACTGGATAAAGAAAATGTGTTACACGTACACCACGGAACACTATGTAGCCATTTAAAAAAAGAACAAGATCATGTTCTTTGCAGGGACATGAATGGAGCTGGAGGCCATTATCCTTAGCAAACTACCACAGGAACAGAAAACCAAATACTGCATGATCTCACTTATAAGTGGGAGCTAAATAGTGAGAACACATAGGCACATAGAGGGGAACAACATGCACTGACTGGGGCCTATCAAAGGGTGGAAGGTGGAAGGAGGGAGAAAATCAGGAAAAATAATGAGTACTAGGCTTAGTACCTGGGTGATGAAATAATCTGTACAACAAATCCCCATGACACAAGTTTATCTGTATAACAAACCTGAACATGTATCCCTGAACTTAAAATAAAAGTTTTTTTAAAAAAAAAGATCACTGAGTTTCCAGAAGTTAAATAACTCCCTGGAAGTCAAACAGCTAGTATAAGATAAAACTGTGATTCTAGCTGGGTTTTCTTTGACTTCGAAATCTATGCTTTTTCAGATACGAGTTGTTTAAAGCAGGGGACCCCAACCCCTGGGCCCCACAGTAGGAGGTGAGCCAGGGGCAAGTGAGCATTACTGCCTGAGCTCCTCCTCCTGTCAGATCAGTGGCAGCATTAGATTCTCACAGGAGCAAACCCTGTTGTGAACTGCACCTGAGAGGGATCTAGGCTGCCCGCTCCTTATGATAGTTGAACTAACGCCTGATGATCTAAGGTGGAACAGTTCCATTCCGAAACCATCCCCCCCCACCACCCCATTTGTGGAAACAATGTCTTCCACAAAACTGGGTCCCTGGTACCAAAAAGGTTGGGGATCACTGATGATCAACCTAGAGTGGAACTAGACATGTAAAAGAATCACTGTTTCCCTAGTAGTGAGATGTTTGCTGTAATATAAGGAGGCTAGTTTTATTTATTCAAAAGATTTGTCAACATATGGAAACCTATTTGATATAGTTTTTTTGAGCCCTTCCTCTGTTCCCATTTAGTTGTATTAAAATGTAATGCACCAATACTAGTTGTTCAACTGGTTGGCTTATAGTTATTGCGCTTCTCTGACTTATCACCTGTTCCAAAAATTTATATCAATGCTAGAATAGTTGTCCTTCTCAACCTAGAGCATTCATATAGAATTCAGAGGTCACTAAACTTTAATGCCTGTAACTTTCAGAACTATGTGTGGACCAGATTGAGTGTGAAATAATAGTGGGTGTGGTGCCTGTTGTAAACTGGAGCCTGTAAACTCCTTATAAAAGTATTTAGATCCACTTACAAACAAACAAACAACATCTTAACCAAACACAACACTCAGATATGAATTAATTCAACCCAAGGGATCAAGTATACAACACTGCATGAAAATTAAATGTTGATAGATATTTGAGTACCTTAGAAGTTAGTATAATATTAACATATTATCAGGATCCAGTTAAATACTATTCTATTTCTTTAATTATTCCTTCTGTGAGCAACACTATTTTCAAAGACAGTGAAGGGGTGCAGGCTCTGATACTTGTCTTCAGAAATACTCCTTTAAACATAAAAGGTATAACGAAACCATGCCTCAAGACCTGTTTCAAGGTCAAATATGGTTATCCCTGTTTTGTAAGTGGGAAAATTAACTCACTGGGGAAACTTAAATGCGCTATAAAAGACTTCTAAGAAATTAAATTACATGCTTTGGAAGTCTAGCACTTCAAAGTTGATATTAGAGATTATAAAGGTTTTAAAGTTCATGAATTGTTCTTTGGGGAAAAATACTAGAGAAACCATCAAGATTTTGCACAGAGGCACTGCGGGGGTTTCCTCAAGCTCACCCTTAGGTGCGAGAGCCATTGGGGGTGTTGATCTGGCCTTCGTGGCTGTCCAGGCATGTCTTCTTCTTTCCTACCTCCTCTTTGTTTGCCCTCCTGAAGTTGTGATCTCGGGGGATGAGGTTCCTCTTCCAGAACAGAGGCATAGAGAAGAACCTCTGGGTCAAAGGCATTGCATGTGGCTCTTTACTCTTTCCTGTAACTCCCATATCCAATCACGATGTCCTGGTGACCTCTGTGTGTGTGCACTATGCAGTTCTCAGACTGTTCCACGCTTGCTTCAAATGAAAGGCCAAACTCTGTGGACCACTTTTCCACCTTCTCTGTCTTTCATTTTGTTTTTGCTGTTTCTCCCTATTCAGCAGCTTCGCGTGAATAGATTGGATTACGAATTGATGCAGGCCTGTGGGTTGTTGCTAGGACAAAAAACCCAGGCTTTGTTTAGAAAATGACATTTGTTCTCCAGCTTTCTCCTGAAAGCATAACAGTCTCTCCTTTTTAAAATTTTTCTTTCCACTCAGAAACCATGGTAAATATTTCATCATTGGGTAGAACTTAGTGCGGGCTGTATTAGGCACAGTCTCTGTTTCAGGGGTTCTTCTGGAGGCTGATCATGAGGAATCTCTGGATGCAACTTCAGCTGCATTGTTACTGTGTTTTCACAGGAGGCGATCGAGATCGGATGACAGCAAATCATGAAAGCTACCTCCTCATGGCAAGCACCCAGAATGATATGGAAGACTGGGTGAAGTCAATCCGCCGAGTCATATGGGGACCTTTCGGAGGAGGTGAGTGTACTTTAAAATCATGGAAAAACAGAAAGGTAGACCAAACCTGTTCATCCCTTTCCCCCAGCGAATGTTACTATTAGCTCCTGTATTCAAGTGGGTGAATGTTAAAATAAATTGTAAATTGTTCAACATTATTGTTAGACGTATGTCTTCGTAAATCCTACAAGTTTAATTTAGATCATGTATAATTATAACGAACCTTCTTCTGTGAATATGTTGAATGATAAAAATGGGTGGGTTTTTTTTTTAGTTTTGGATTTTCCCATATTACCGACAATACACTGTTATGGGACTCATACTGTAAAAGTAGATTAGTTAAGAACATCTAGATATGAAGTAAGAAATTTATGACTAGTGGTTCTGGAAGATATCCCAGCCCCCAAATGCTCAATTGTATCAAAGAGGAATGCCAAAACTTTTGATAATAATCTGATGATTATTGGAGTAAAAACATCCTTCAGATCAGTTAAGTGTTGGTAAATTTGAAAGTAAGTTTTTAAAAGGTTTTAGTTAACACAGTGTTGAGAATGCACCATGTCAAGAACGAGCTAAAAAGGTGCTATGCATAGAACTGAACAAAGGAAGAAAAGATAAAAGATGTGATCTAGGTATGCCAAGAAACAGAAAATAGAATCATATAAACAGAAAAAGTATTCAACGAAAATGAGCAAATGGACCAAAAAAATAAAAGCACAAAATTATTTATCTACAACCACAATATATTTCCAAGAACATAATGCCTAATTTTTATATGGTGATATAGTTTAAAATAAATTGTGTTAGGTCAAATTCACACTTTATAAACAATTACAATCCTTATATTTATTTTCCATTCTTTTGTATATTGTCAACACCCTGAATTGAGATAGTGATTTTTTTTTTTTTCTCTGAACAGATCGGACACTTCTTAGGCTGACTGACCATTTTATATTTTAGAATAACTTCAAAAGCTTAGTTTTAAAAGTTGGTAAGTTGAAGTTAAAATAGTAAAGATTCATTGAAAACATGATATTTTACTAGATTAATGGCACATGTTTGTAATATATCTATGTTTTAATAATATCTTCTGTTAAGGAAAGGGAAGGTTCCTAACCAGGATGACCATTCATTCCAGTTTCCTTAGTAAGAGAGGTTTACAACTTTTGTCCCAGGCTAATTACTGTTTGTGCTACCTTTCATTCCCACGGTGTTCTAGTTTGGATGACAACACATACGGTTACCTTATTCATAACCCAGAATGGCTAGCAAGTGACTATGTAAAATATTTGAAAACACCAGCTGAATCCCCACTCCAGTACCTTAGCAGAGGATTCCTCATAGTTATGCAGTAAGGAGTCCCCCTTTATCCATGGTTTCAGTTGCCACTGGTCAACTGCAGTCTGAAAATATTAAATGGAAAATTCTAAATATAAACGATTCACAAGATTTAAGTTGCACGTTGTTTTTTGTAGCATAATGAAATCTCATGCTGTCATTCCCAGGATGTGAATCGTCCAATTGTCCAGTACATTTACGCTGCACACACTACCCGCTGCCCATTAGTAGCCATCTTGGTGATCAGATAGACTGTCAAAGTATCACAGTGCTTGTGCTCAAGAAAGCCTTGTTTTACTTAATAATTGCCCCAAAGGGCAAGAGTAGTGATGCTGGCAATTTGGATATGCCAAAGAGAAGTCATAAAATGTTTCACTTACGTGAAAAGGTAAAAAATTCCTGATTTAAGAAAAAAAAAGTTGTATGCTAAGGTTACCAAGAGCTACAGTACAATGAAATATCTTGAAAGAGAGACCATGTTCACATAACTTTTATTACAGTATATATATTGCTATAATTGTTCTATTTTATTAGAATATTGTTATTGTTGTTAATCTTTTACTGTGCCTAATTCATAAATTTACTTTATCATAGTTATGTATGTATACGAAAAATATAGTATATAAAGGGTTCAGTAATATCTGAGATTTCCGGTGTCCAGTGGGGACTTTTATCCCCTATGGATGAGTGGCTACTGTACATGAGAGACACATACTCATCTGGTAATGTTTGCTAGCACCTCCAGGGTAAAGGGTTTGTGGGGAGCCTGAGGATGAATCTTTTCAAAGCTCCCATTGTCTCTAAAGACACTCTTCTCCCCTTTATAATCAGATTTCTGGAATTCCTGAGTTCAGAAGAATCTTTAATATCTACTGAAGAATATATTTTTGTTGAGGGATTATTTATATCAAGTGTTAGTTATTTTCTCCCCTTTCTCCTCTTCCATCTGTGACTTCCTGAAAAAAAAAAAGAATGCCATCCAGTTAATTTATCCAAATAAATGGCCACGGGCAGTCACATCAACCCAGAAATCTCAGAAATAATTCCAGTGGGACTGGGTGAGCTGTATATGTGAATCTTCAAATTCATGAACCTGGAAGGGACACTCAAATAGTTGATTGGTCTATAAACTTTATTATATGAGACCTACTTCAGGGATTTTACAAATGCTTGATTTGAATTTACATTTAAAGAGATGTATTTTAGCATATAGCACTCATAATAGAAACAATGCTTCAAAGAATAAATCTTCTCCTGCCCTCTTTGTTTAATAAGTATTATGAGACTGCAAGGCAAGCTTTTAAAGTATTCATTTAATTTGTAAGAAATCCTTTGTGATTTCTCTGAATATCAGAGTTTGCTAAAGTTAATAGAGCACACAAAACAAAATAGAATGTTAATACTGATAAGAGATCCCAACTGTCAGCCATAATCTTGGGTTTCAGATGATATATTAATCTAAGATTTCAAATGTTCCTATTAATATTAATAAATTCTGTTATTGATTGAATTTTAAATAAATCTTATAAATTTTAGTTTTAAACAATAAAGTTATATGACCCAAAAACCCTTTTACTTATGTTACACTGTGTATTACGTTTCCACTTAACATTTCATTGAAATTAACTTTTCTGCCGATTTGCAATATTTTAAAACCACTGTTTTAGTTCAACCTCACATTTTGTGGATTAAGTCTTTAAGACCCAAGGAGGATGAAAAACTTGCCAAGTGTCACACTGTGAGAAGCAGAAGTAAGAAGAAAACCCATGTGTTCCTCCTGCTTTATAGCAAAATAGTGTGATCTATTACTTCTACTGTGGTAGTAAAGAACCCACAATTATAAGTCCATGCCTTATTGATCGTATATTCTTCAGTATATGAAAAATAATAAAAGTTTTTAAACATACAATAATTAGAATTAATATAGTTTTATGAGTCATTCAAAAGTACTAGAATTGATACCATCGAGCAATTAGAAAAAAAAATCTGAAACAACCCAAATGTCCATCAACAGATGAATGAATAAACAGAATGTGAAGTATCCATAGAATGGATTATTATTAAGCCATAAAAAGGAATGAAGTACTGATACATATAACACCACGAATGAAGCTTGAAAACATTATGCTAAGTGAAAGAAGCCAACCACAAAAGAGCACATTTTATGATTCCATTCATATGAAAGTATAGAACAGGGAAATGTACAGAGACAGAAAATAGATTCGTGGTTGCTTAGAGCTGGGATGGGGGGATGAGGGGGTGATGGAGAGATAGCCAAAAGATACAGGGTTTATTTTTAAAATGAAAATGTTCTAGAATTAACTGTGGTAATGGTTGCAAGTATCTGTGAATATACTAAAAACCATTGAATTGTACATTTTAAACTGGGGGATTCTATGGTATGGGAATTATATCTCAATAAAGCTGTTTAAAAAATTCTGAATTGTCATAATCACCCTTCATAAGAGAATGCACTTTCCCTTCCTATCTTAGTTATGAAACCCAGGCCCTGTTAATACTAAATGAAAAGCACTTGATTAGATGGTATCTGTAAGGAAATTTAGAAGAGGAGGTGACATATCACTCTGATTTATCAATCACAGTATACCACCTTTGGATATGTTTTAAATGTATCTGTTACAAAGAGGGCATTTCATTGTGGCAATTTTTTAACCTGTGTTTTTAAAAAGCTAAAGTTTTTCATGAGGCACTGAAGCTTATCTTTATTCAGGTTGCACATATATGCAAAATATTCCCTCTTTGCCATTACAATAATAGACATTAGATTAAAATATAGGAGACACCTGAGGAGCTTGTCTAGTTCTTCAGTCTCCTAGAAATTAAAAACTGTTAGGTGGAAATGTAAATAAAATGTAGGGTTTTGGAATGATAGGCCTTTCCTTCAAATGAAAATGAATTTATAAAATACTCATATGGGGCAGGGAACCAAGGGAAACGTGAAAAGTGTTGAATCTACATAGCTCAACTTTGTGCTACCTGCTGAAAACCCATGCACAGTTGCTCCTCTAGTAATAATGCTAATTGAGAGGCACATGGTTTCTGCATAAAAGTCAAATTCAAAAATCTGAATGTCAAACATTTATTTAGCTTTGGGAAGGTTTCGTTTTCCTTCCTTCCTTCCTTCCTTCCCTTCTTCCTCCCTCCCAACCTCCCTTCCTCCATCCCTCCCTCGCACTCTCCTTTCCTTTCTTCCTTCCTCCCTCCTCCTTCCCTCCTTTCCTCCCGTCCTTCCTTGTGTATTTTTATACTGGGTTTCTGTTCAATTGTTTTTGAGGCAATATTTATGGAAGTGTCTAGTCCGGAATCTGAGATCTGAGGAGAGTGAAAATTCATTAATAGTTTTTTTGTTTTGTTTTGTTTTGTTTTGGAGACGGAGTCTCCTTCTGTTGTCCAGGCTGGAGTGCAATGGCGCATTCTCGGCTCACTGCAACCTCTGCCTCCCTGGTTCCAGTGATTCTCCTGCCTCAGCCTCCCCAGTAGCTGATATTACAGTCGCCTGCCACCACATCCACCTAAATTTTTTTTGTATTTTTAGTAGAGATGGGGTTTCACCATGTTGGCCAGGCTGGTCTCAAACTCCTGACCTCAGGTGATCCACCCGCCTCAGCCTCCCAAAGTGCTGGGATTATAGGTGTGAGCCATTGTGCCCAGCCCAATAGTTCTTGTAGCTCTGATTGCTTAGCCTAATGTTAGCTACTGCCAAAATCAGGTCTTTCCTGTATATTTCTGCCTCCTAATGAAAAGAGTTGATTCAGAGACCCAGCAAGGCAGTAAGAATACTATTTGTGAATAATCCTTACAATGAGTAATTGGTATGCAGGCAGACAGAGGTTAATTAAGAGGCAACGTGGTCAGGCAACGTGCACAGACCAAGTGCACAATCTTGGATATGTAGTTTTACTTCCCTTGCCTTTGGTTTTACTCACTTGTGAAATAAGAAAATTAGAAGAAAAAAATGCTTTCACTTCCTGTGAAAATCCTGTGATTACAGGAGTTCCCTGTAGATCAGTGTTCAGGTCAGTGGATTTTTCTATTGGCTGAAGTGCTTGAAGGGCAGCACTGTCTCTGTCTTCGTGGTGCTGAGTTACACTTTGTGGTTCTTTATTTTCTTAGCAGCGTGCTGTGACACAGAAGGTAAAATACCATTTGAACCACAGGGCAGAACTAAATAATAATAATCCTTTCAATGACAAAAGATTACCTACATGGGCATGCTAGTCAGAGTAATGATGTTTTTAATGGAAAGACCTTTTTAATACTCCTCATGGTCTTGTAAAGCTTCTGCCAAATGGCTGGGAAGGAACACAGAGGCCTTGGGGGTCAGTTGGGGTTAAGGCACTAGCATTCCAAATCAGTTCATGGAACAACCAGGTGGATGAATGATTAACCCAGCAAGTAAATTGTTCAGTGAGTAGGACTGAGAGACTTAGTGGACATGGGGGCTGGGGTGCAGAAAGTACGGGCAAGAGCATGGAAGAATGTTGAAAACAGAATTGGTTTGCAAACCATGCCTAGAGAAACATATATGTGTGTGTAAATACACATACAAATATGTGTTGATGTGTTTGCAGCTTTACCCACAGACTCTTTGCCACTGGATTTTAAACATTTTTCTGTTTTACAGACACACACATACACATGTATAAATATGTTTTCAGGGTATGCATGTTAAATCAGTGCTCACAAATGAATTCAATTACAAATCATTTGAAAGAAAGTAAAACTTGTATGGGAGGGGAATAAATGCAGGTATGAAGGGGCAAAAAGTTTACCCCCTGGGGGTTGGTTTGGTGCCCTGTGATTTCTGGAGGGGCTGAGCCAGCCAGCTGTAAAAGTGCTACACAAGACAAGAGCTGGGAAGTCAACACAAAGTCAAAAGAAAAAGAAAGGAGTTTGTACCGTAGCGTGGCATTCTCCCTCCTCCCCTCATCCTGTTGTGACTGCACCTGCTGAATGTGACCGGCGGGCACTGGAAGCAGCCGCAGCCACAGCCTTGGTGAGGAGCAACCGCAGCCCTGCCAGCTCCCTCCCAGTTCTCATTGAGAAAAGGGGAGACGGAGCAGGAGGAGGGGGAGGAGATGCTCCCTGCAAAGCTGCCTCCCCCCACAGATCCAAAGAGCCTCTTGGAATGGGCACTCGACTGTTCTGACGTTGTGATTCTCTCGGGAGTTTGAAGACAGAAAGGAAAGGGGAGAAACCTGCAGAGAGCATCAAAGGATGGGGGGTGCTATAAAAGAAGCAGGGGGGTCCTTTGAAAGAAATCTATCATGCACTGAAATGCTTTCTGGAGAAGGTGCCATTATTTTCCTCCCCTCTTGCTCAGATGAAAGGAGCCAGCAAGGACAGTCCTGAAATATTCCTCAGGGGACTTTTTGTCATTGTTCCTCTTTCCTCTTGCACAGAGCTATTTGCTGACCTTTCCAGAGGAATCTCAGTCCAGCTGAGAAGACAGTTCTTAATAAAAACAAAAAAATGCAAAAACCAATTCCTGCTGTTTGAATGGGAATGGTAGCTTGCTTGCTGCAGTTCTTTTCCTGTGACATTTTGGAATGTCTGCAGAAACTTAAAAAAAAGAAAAAAAAAACCTTAAAAACTCCCTGGATTAGGCAAGAGAAAAGGAAGTTTTTTTTTGCTAAACAGGAGTAAATGAGAGGTGGTAACTTATCCCTAAGCCAGGACCTGGATGATCAAAACCTTCAAATTCTAGGGATCAGCACTTCAAAAATAACAAGTAAACAAGCATGAGGAGTGGCTGTTGGGTTTCGCTCAGAGGCAGGTTTTAAAGGAAGCCAAAACCGGGTTCAGAACTTCAGGCCTGTACGATGCCTGAAGACCGGAATTCTGGGGGGTGCCCGGCTGGTGCCTTAGCCTCAACTCCTTTCATCCCTAAAACTACATACAGAAGAATCAAACGGTGTTTTAGTTTTCGGAAAGGTAGGTAGATAATATGTTCATGTCCTTTTTATAAATATAAATAATATTATCTTAGGCTTTAAGGTCTGTTTATGCTCAGATAAAATGGGAGTTTGGAAACCAAGAGCTTAGGACTGTACAAGAGTGATTTGTGCGTATCCTTGCTTGTCTATACTTATTTTCTGAGGTTCATTTAAATGTGTATATTATTGTCTGTGAATAGGTGGGGTAGGTGGGGCTTAAAGAATAGTGATCCTATGGGGATCACCTTGACTGACAGGGGACTAAGTAAGCTGGGCTGACCGTCCTCAGAGGAGGGGCCAGAGTGATCTTGGGCCCTTCCTAGACCCAAATCAAGCAGCCATGTTCTGACCCCTCAAAACAGGGCCCTCGCAAATCCCTGTGCTGTGTTCCCGTCACCTTGTTTTGATTCTGGCTGCCTGTGCTTGCCTCACCTCCCCTGTTGAGAAAAATTTGATAATCGAATTATTCGTGCTGACCCATTTTCAAGAGGCTTTCAACCATATTGATGAATATTTGCTGGGAATAGGAGTCACCCTGACATTTCAAATATATCACAAGGTGGCACTGGGAGAGGGCAAAGATAGAACTATCAGGAACAGGGGTGAGAACATAGAACAACTTATGATCAGTAAAAGAAACTAAGACATTTCTGAATTGACTTATTTGGGGGGAGTTAGAGAATACAAAATAGGTAAACTAAAATGTTTTCAGGAAAAGTTTATGGATCAAAATATTTATAAATATCTTTTTGCTTTAAAATAAGAATAATTAAATGGAATGGCTGTTTAAGTAGAAACTAAGTAATTATAATGTTAATGACATGTGCAGTAAGCTAATAATTTAGTCAGGTGCTGAGTTGAATGACATCTAGGGTTGTTTTTTCTCCCCCACATCTTTTTTTTGATTTGCCACCCATTAATTAATCTTCCCTAGTTAGTAACTAACAAAAAAAAATAAGAAAAATCAAAATTACAAAATACAGTGGGAACTTTTTTTTTAAGGAAACCATTGTTCCTGCAGAGTGCTTTCCTTTGCGTAGCTAAGACCTGGCAACAATCACCATCATATATTATCAGCAAGGATTTCAGGTGTTAATTTACATTCCTATCTCATCCACAAAGATAATTAAATGAGAGATGCATGTCTCATATTTTTATAGATCTATAGGGATTTTCTGAATACCATAGGATTGCATCATTGGTAGAGAAATTAACAATGACAGAAATTTTTAAAGGCTCAGGGACAAATTGCTTAAAGGATAGTTTCCCCTTCTAGTTCCCCAGCCCATCAGAAACTAAATTGGTTCTATGCAAACACGACTTTTCAGGGTTACTGCTGTCCATTTGTAACATGAGATGTCTGGAGGATTATTAATGTATCTTTAAAGGACTTTTTTTTTTTTTTTTTTTTGGCCTTTGTCACCTTCCCGTCTCCCATAGAATCCTTGTGAACACACTGCTGTTCCCGATGCCTTCCTCCCTTTCTCCTTAAATACTAAGCGGGGAAGGCAGTGCCTGGGAAGAACATTCCCATGGACTGGCAAATGGCCAACACTGGGTAGGGCACAGCTTCCATCTATCCTCTCCCGGGGGGCTATTTTTAAAGGCTGTCCTTTTCTCTTCAAAGCCTTAGTAGTTTGGGGAATGTCCAGCATTTGAACCAGGATGAAGAGTTTTTTTTATTTACAAAGCTGTATTCTGTCGAAAGGAGAAAGGAGAGGAGGTGCAGGAAGCGTTCAGCGGTTTTACGCTTCCTTTCCATTCTCTGGAGCCCGCTGCATCCCAGGCTCTCTCTGTTGAAGTGCTGCGTGCCCACAGTTCTGCAGTGGGGTCCTGGGAGCACGAGCGCTCAGCTGCTGCAGCCCCAACCCGCCGCCACCTTGCTCTTGCTGCAGTCATCACTCAGGGCAGCAGCAGCATGACGCACAGGAGCTTTACATCTTTCTTGAAGGTCTGGCCTTGAAAAGAATGAACTCGCCTCTCAATTCTGGGTTCCTAAAACCATGCCAACTTAAGAAGAGTGTGTTCTTTTGTGCTTTATTTAATCTCCTGGGTACTTAAGTGTTTCAAGAAGTGGCCTGGGTTTCTGCGTTCCTCTCCCAAGCCTGTCCGAGAACATCAGCTTAAGTCATTTTAAGGAATGCAATAAGGAGAATGTGTGAAGCCAGGAAAAATGCCTAGAGGTAAAAAAATGTTGACGTGGCTACTTTTCCTGATCCACATGTAAAATATATATATTTTTTTACTGTTGTCAAAAGTAGGCCAACAGCAGAGGAGACATGCTGCATTTCTAGCGGTTTTAGAAATGCTGTCAGGATAAAGTGTGGAGTTGAGTAAAAGTTTCCAGAGGCCTGGTTACATTAGAGCTTGCATGTTGTGCAAGCTGAAACTCACCTCTCAGAGCACCTTTCTCTTCCAGACCTCTTCTGTCCTTTGCTGCCCTTTCAACTCTCATTCTTTGTTTGGATACTAATTAAGGTCACTGAAAATGATTTCCCAGTGGTTTGAAAAATCCAGGAACCAAGAAACATCTATTAGGCAGGAAGCTCGGGATTGTGGTGCTTTGAGTTTATGTTCCGTTGAGATAAAGATTATAAGTGAATTTTTTACCCTGTTGATTTTGAAACTACAATTTTTCTTTACCTCTATAATATGACTATTAGCAGTGTAACCGATCCCTTGATTACCTGGGAATGCATAACACTGTGGTCTGAGCACTTGGGTCTAGTCGTAAGAGGCTAGATTCCTTGATTGTTGTGATCCCAGGATGCTAAATTAGATTTTTAAAGTCCACCTCTATCTTGATTTTTTCGTGAACTACTCCTTTCTTGGAGATAAGTTATCATCAGGTCCTCAGTGGCTTTTCCTACACAGCAGCCACTTAGTGATCATTCACCATTGCTTCTTCTTTATGTCTTTCCAGCTCCATTTCCATTTCCATCACCTTAGCTCTTTGTGCCTTTATTGCTCCATGTATGCAACTTACTTTAACCTAAGTAGTGGCTTTTCAAGACAGCATTCATCCTCACCTCTGTGCACCCCCAGCACTCTTCACAAATTCCTACAACACACAAGCCATCTTGTGAAGCATTTCCCTATCTGTATTTCTAAAACAGTGCTGTCAAGCAACTTTCCACAGCTCAAAGATTTTTATGATCCCCTATTGCTCACAGGAGGAAGTCCTATTTCAAGTAACTATAAAGGCCCTCTAACAAATTCTAACAATTCCCTGGAGTATAAGCCCCCTAATTCCCCAGACTATTTCATCCTTTCTCCTAAACACATGTCCTACACCACTTCTTCATGTCTCTTCACTTTGTTTCCTCTGCTATGATGCTTTCTTCTCCATTGTCTATCTCAACTTTATGCTCTCTTCAAGGCATCACTGACTCTAATTTCTTCAGCAAGCTTTCTCTGTTTACCAATTATATGCTCCTAACTCTATAGCTCTTATGTTTTATTTTTATTTATTTATTTGTTTGTTTGTTTTGAAATGATCTCATTCTGTCATCGAGGCTGGAGTGCGGTGGTGAAATCTTGGTTCACTGCAACCTCCGCCTCCCGGGTTCAAGTGATTCTCCTAGCTCAGCCTCCTGAGTAGCTGGGATTACAGGTGCCCGCCACCACACCCAGCTAATTTTTGTATTTTTAGTAGAGATGGGGTTTCATCACGTTGGCCAGGCTCGTCTCAAACTCCTGACCTCAAGTAATCCTCCCACCTCGGCCTCCCAAAGTGCTGGGATTATAGGCGCAAGCCACCTCGCCCAGCCGACAGCTCTTACATTTTACATATGCTGATTCTTGGCCACTGTATCCTAATAGCCACCTTGAGGTGCTTTATACGCGTTTGTAGTATACACACATGCACATATGCGTGCACATACACACACACACACATATTCATTCCCAAAGTGGAGAATGGCAATAGGTCTATTCAATCAGGGATTCAAGATCGATTACAAACTGGTGAGGTACAGTGTTACTATCTATTCCCAGAATCCATAGGCAATAGAATGTCTTTACAGTGGTGGTGGACAAGACCAACATCCTCTTTAAAATTTGTTGTATGTTATATATGTTGTAATCACATTTATGAAAATGGATTTGCCCAACAAAACACCACTATCCAAATCTATATAATTTTAAACTGCGTATAAGTGACTAGCTCATTAATTCATATATCAATGTTTTATGGAGCCTCTACCAAGTGGTGCTGGGAATGAGAAGGTAAACAAACAGGTTGTCTCAAATCTATGAATTCACAGACTCCTTGGAATAACGAAACATAAATAAGTACTTTGTGATAAGCACCACACCAAATTATCTATTAAGTTGTAGGTGCCCCTGAACAAAAGGCTGACCACAGGCTCCTGTGGAAACCCAGTGATTCACATAAACTAAAGGAAATCGGGTTTGGTCTTTGAAAGTTACAAAAAGACATTTTCTCCCATGTGATACTAAGACAATAGTGAGAATGCCTTGGAAAAAATTATGTTTGAATTCAATTAACATAACATAGTGAAAAATGAAAGACTTTTAGAATCATATGGAGCTGTGTTTGTATCCCAAATCTGCCACTTTCTAGATGTGTGACCTCAGACAGGTCACCTGCCATCTTCAAATCTGTTTCCCTGTTTGTAGAAAAGGGACCCCCTTGTAGGATGTCTGTGAATGCCAAATAAAGAAATACATGCAACTTGCCTGACTTGGAACCTAGTGTGTATAATTGCTCCAATGGTCAAAGACCTAGTCCACTGGGTCGCTATGTACACCTTGTAACACTTTCTTAATCCTTCCTAGCATTTATTATTCTCCTTCCTTCCCCCCTCTGACTTTGAAAAGAGTAAAGATTCTATCAACATTCACTGGTTACGATAGACCCTGAGCTCCTTGGAGTAAAGGATTTCTATCTATATAATATTTTGTGGCTACTTAAAAAGTTTGTGATAGAGTGAAATAAGCTTTGCCTTGCTTTGTTTCTTAGTTCTGTACTAAAATGGATGTATTTTACTTTGATTTGCCCATTTGCTATGGGTGAATGTTCATTTTAATGGAAAATTCTTACCATCCTGGTGATACCAGGATTTATCCTGCTAGCAGAGTTGCAGTAAGCAGAGGATAAGTCAAGGCAAATTCCCACTATGGCTGAGTATGTGATCTGCAGACAAGAAGGGATAAGGAACTCAAAATTAATGGCACGACCCACGAACTATCAATGAGTTTCATTTGACATTGGAATTATTCATTTATTTTCTATAATTGGGGAGGTAAAGTGTTTTATTTCCATGCATGCATTTATTCCATAAATGTTTATGGAGCATCTGTGCGTCACCCATCTTGATAAGTTCCAGGGACATAAACAAAAGGCCTTGACTGTGGTAAAATAGAATTAAAGCTTTGGAGTCCTTTATACCTGGGACCCATCCCAGTGTGGTCCTTGTGTCTGTGGCACCTTGCCTAAACCTCTCCGAAGCTCATAGGATAGATATATAGTATGTAGCTGCTTTCTAATATTTATTATAATAATAATAAATGTAAAACAATTATTTCATTATAATAAATGTAAAAATAAAATCCTCTTTTGACTAGTCCAGCACAGGTTAGGCATCTAAATAAATAATTTCCATGCAAAATGTTAAGGAATAAAGAAACATATCAAGCTTTGGGTCTAGAGTAGGGGATGAGGCAATGGAATGTCAGTAAAGACTTCACAGAAGATGTATGAGTTGACTCTTACAGGATAAGGTTTCCTACACTGACTTACAAAGGCAGGACCTACCTTCTAGAAGGAGGCATGAAGACATGACAAGCAATACATAGTTCAGCATAGTTTGAGAGCATATTGTTTGTGAGGAAGCAGAAGAAATGAGAGTGGAGATGCCACAGTGCCTGGCACACAATGGATGCCACCTAAACATTGTTGACTGAATGGAAGATGAAGAGGCTGAGATCAGCTTGTGGGGATTTTATTTTATAAAAAGGAATGTGGTTGCAAAGACAAGCCAGTGGGCACCATTGGAAGAGGTAAAGCAGAAGAGCGGCATGATCCGATTGAAATATTACAAAGTCCACCATGGCAGCACTTGGCTGGATTGGGAGCTCTGCTCTTCAAAAACTCATGGAAGAAATACTGAATATCTAATCTAATGCAGTGGTAAGGAGCTTGGAGGTGACCAGCATGGTGATTACATGAATAGCTTGAAGGAAGAGGAATGTAGGTTGATTCTCAGATGGCACTTCAATGTTTTGGGGGGATAGCTTGTACTGATAACCAAAATTAGGATTAAAAGACACAGAACAGGTTTTAAAAAAGAGATGACTTATTCAGCTTTAGAAATTTTGAGTTTGAAAATATTGAGCTATCCATATTGAAGGTTCTACTGGGCACCTAGAAATCCAATGCTGGAGATTATAGCAATAGCCCAAATTGAGATACAAACCTGAGAATAATTAATATGTAGTGAAATTAAGTGGAGTCTAGTAGAGTAACTGTATCAGGTAAAGTAAAAACGGAGCTGAGGACAGAACCCAGACAACTATTAAAGAGTGTAGTAGTTAGCATAGTCAAGAAAGAGACTGACAAGGGCATTGAGAGGCAAAAATCATGTAACATGGGACGTGTCAGGAAGAAGAAGGAGACTGACAGTTTTAAAGGGAGTGAGACATGAAGTAATACAAAGAACAAATTTGGCTGTCAATGATTTACCAACTAGGAAGTTATTGGTGACTGTAGAAAAAAGCCATTTTATTGTTTTAACTGGGTCAAATATCAAATTGCAAAAGTTAGCAAGTGGATGGAAAATGATGAAAAGGAGACAGAGTCACATACTTCACTGGGAATTGAGGAGCAAAGAGAATATGTAGTTACAGGGCACAGAGTCTAAGAAGGTTTAGATTCATCTTTGCTTATTTATTTTCAAGAAGAATGAAATATGAATGTATCTATAGCATCACAGTCACTCACTTCATAGGCAGCCTCTAGCTATTGGCTCTATAAATCACATGTAAAGGGGGACCCTTACAAACCCTGAAGGCTGTGGTGGTTTCTCTCTTGTGTGCGCCACTGGAAACAGCCACCTACCAGTATAATAAATTCACCTGTGTGATTTACGTTCTCAGTCTAGTGAAAAGTCACATCCTCGGTGATGCTTTATGACACACCAATGTACTTTCACAGGGAGGGGAGGTAGGCATGGTATTCATCACCGCCCAGAAATACTGGGGACGGTTTTGTCAGAGTGTGTGAAAACTTGCTGGGAGTTTAAATGGACATAGCTGGAACTGTTTGCATGACCCACATCCCAGGGAATATTGTAAATAGTGTGTCTTTTCTTCATGCTGCTGGCTGGGGGCAGCACATGACCTTTGTGCTTTTATGTTAATTTAAAATTTAAAGTTTCACTGCTCCCTCAAGGAAATTTTTAAATAAATCTGTTTTTTTAAAATGATTTTTCCCATCAATAGCTTTCCTCCCAAGGAGCATTCTTATGCAGAAGGGCAACCCACATCTACCATTTTAAGCCAGAAGTGTTTGGCACACTCTATTTCCAGTGCTACAGAATGGGGAGTACACGTCTATTAAAATTCTTTACTCATTCTTTGCAAGACCAGTTCTACAGCAGAAAATTCATTTTTCCACAGGAATTTTAAATCATATGTACATGTCTACATGCCCTAAAACTTTTTTATATATTATACTGCTGTATTAAAGGCATCAGCTTTATATAAAGGAAATTGCTTTGGGGGGCAGCATGCTCATTGAAGCTCCAGAGTATTTTCCTTCTCTTTTTTTTTTTCTGACCTCCCCCAATTCCCAATTTATATTTTCTCAGCACAAATTATTTATCCTAATGTGATGGGAGGAATTGAGGTCAGAAAGCTAATAAATGGCAGGTGTCTTCCTCCATTGCTGTTTTCAGCCATTGTGCATACTACACAGTATTCTGTAATAGCCACTGAGTGGCTCTGATATCCCACCGCCTCGAACAAGCCTTAGCTCCACCATTTACTGCTGTGTGACATTTGGCAAGTTACTTGACCTTTCTGTGCTTCAAGCTCCTCCTCCTTAAAATGCAAGGAATGGTGGTGCCTACCTCACAGGATGTTATGAGTTTTAAATGTGAGAAATGCAGGTAAACTGCCTGTAACATGCCTGGCATACATAAGTACAGCTTAGCTATTATCACTTTTTAAAAGCACAAAAAATGTACATGATTTTTCTCAGTTGTAGAATGTACTAATATTTTTAATTATGAGAAAATGAGGACTCATGACTGTGATTAAATAAAAAGGAAAAGGACTGATATTCAGGAATAAGCAAAGATTTTAAAGCTAAATAAATCTGGATGTGGACTTCCATTCTGCCACTTGGTGCTCTGTAACTAACCTCAGACAAATTATTTCATCTCTCTGAGCCCCAATTTTCCATGTATAAAAGGGAGAATGATAGTTACTTTATGTGTTTCTTATGAAGATGAGAGAATATTGTGAGGGACTCAGAATATAATAAATAATGAATTTAAGTTTCTCACTATAGTTTTAAAGTAAATTCTCATTTTATTATAAAGGCAAACCTGCATGTACAAGAAAGTAAAAAGGAAACCGAATTCACGTCTAAAGCAAAACATCCCTTTCTTCATCGCTTCCTTGGGTTGTTGGGGAAAAAAAAATCCCGAAAGCTTTGAGAAAAGAATGTTTGACTGTTTTTCATTACCGTACAAACCCAAATATTGGAAGTTTGGTTCATGTTTGTAGCACACATGGTCATTGAATTGCAACATCCTTAGTAGATTTTCTGTTGGATTTGGAGAGAACCCTTAGGTAATATATTCATCAATCCAAAGCAAAAATCGAAAGTAAAAAAAAAAAAATCACACATACATAAAATTTATTCCCAAATGTCAACATATTATTTTCTTAAATGATCTACAAGTCTTTTAAAAGGTTATTTACTTAATTTTGTCAGGATAGAGTTCAAACAGTAGAGGCAAATAAGCATCACGTTTGTTTTCAAAGCTCTCCACAGAAAGGGTCAATATTCTCCAACCTAACCAGTTTGTAAACCTTATTATTAAAACACTAGAATATCTCCAAAAGTTGTTACTACCATTGAATGGATTAGAATTTTGTTTTGCTGAAGGAACAGAAAACTGGCTTAAACACACATCAGCTTGTTTTTCTCACATTAAAAGCTATCTGGACAAAGGTGCTGCCAGTTTTGGATCAGTAGTTCAATAATTTTCAGCCTCAGCATGTCTGTTAATCTTTTAGCCTTTCCCTTGTGATTGTTGCCTAATGGACCAAAGATGACTGTAACAAGAGCCAGTATCATGCCCAAGTTGAAGACAGGCAAAAGGAGTGACTGACAATTACAGATGTCTTCCCTTTTCATCAAGAAAAGCAAGTCTTCCTAAAGGTTACAAGAAGACTTATTGACATTGAACAGGACTATGCCACATGACCACCCCACTGCAAGGGAAATGGAAGAAGTATTTAATTTTCCAGCTTCTACAATGGAAATGTCAAGGGAGAATGGGGTGTGAGTGTCTGTTGGAGTTAGTGAATAATGTTTGATACACCATTATCAAGGATCTACTTGTTCTAAAATCTACAAACCAAGCTAACTAGACCTGTTATCTGCTCTAATCTTTATTGCCCTTAGAAAACACTATTTCTAATTCTGCTTTATATACTTGAATATCGATACTAAGTTACTAAACATTATTTCCTAAATAGAATATATGTATTTCATTAGTGCTAAATTTGATACCAGGTGTAGAATAGTTGTGTTTCCTGTTATTGTTTCTACCTGAGCTAAGAATATTTTCTTTGGTAACAATTCGTTATTGCTTGAAATGTGACGGTTTTGCACTACTGAGTCCATAAAGAAATTATTTTACAGGTGGGGAGGCAAAGCATCTGTTGGTATGATCAAATCCTTAATCTAATGCCTGTTAAATAATTCCCCACACATTCTGAAGTCTTACCTAATTTCAACATGCACCACTTACTTTTCTTCCCCTTTCATGAAACTCAGACCATTAAAATAATTTCATGACATTCATTCCATCTGGGAACAGTGGAGTCACATCTGCTTTGGCTGTTTTTTCCCCTCTTTCTCATAAGTTGATAATTTTTACCAAGCTACTACCTAATATTAATATATTTCAAAAGTATTATCTCTTAATTAGTGGAGTACTGAGGGTGAAATAGTGGCTGTTTTTGGCCTAGGTGTATACACCAAGGAATGTATGGTTTGTAGGTGTTGTAAAATCATTAATAAATCTAACTAAAACTTGGCCTTCTTTTTATTGCCACCCTGTACTGCCAATTCTAAACAATGTACATGATAAAATACCCTACCTGTTAGGGCAAGCCACTGTGACCCACCTCTCCACTTCTAGTGTGCTCTGCTTTGTAAATTTCCATTTTTCACTTTCAAATAAGTTAATAGTTTAAGACAAGCAAACATTGTCTGAAATATTTTATATGGGAGAAAATTCAGCGTTTCTTTTCCTGGTTTTATCACCATGATTACAGTCATGACATCACAACTTGAGTAAAAACAAAAGGGGAAAAAAGAAATAGGATTTAAATGCAAATTGGACATAAATATAAAACTGTAATAAAGGTAGAATTTGACTATTTTCTGCAGCATATTTCTGCTTTTAAGCTATTGAATACCATTCCCTTCCTAAAAGGAAAAAAATAAATGAAAACCCCAAACTCAAGTTACATTTATTACAGTTTTTCTTATTTCAAAATCGATATCTCAAACTCAGTGTTTCTATTTTGGTTTGTGCTAAGCATAGAATACAAGAAACAGGCAGCATAAGGTAAATCATACCATTTGAGGAATTGTATATAATGAATTTGATTGTATAATAATGTGAAATACTGAATGTTAAGTGCTTGCTAGCATTCCAATCTTTGTTTTTCTGTTATATTGAATTAAAACAACAACAACAACAAAGTGGGAAGAGATAAATTTCCCAAGTTTACTGTGATCCTTTTTTTTTAAGGCATTTTTGGACAGAAACTGGAGGATACTGTTCGTTATGAGAAGAGATATGGGAACCGTCTGGCTCCGATGTTGGTGGAGCAGTGCGTGGACTTTATCCGACAAAGGGGGCTGAAAGAAGAGGGTCTCTTTCGACTGCCAGGCCAGGCTAATCTTGTTAAGGAGCTCCAAGATGCCTTTGACTGTGGGGAGAAGCCATCATTTGACAGGTAGATGTCACAATTTTACTAGCCATCTTCACTGAGAAATTCAGACTCAACTGACAGGATGCAGTGAGCTGAGGAGGCATAACCTTGATTGATGTGGTAACAGTTTACAACATAGATTATTTGGCCACAGGAGTTTGCATTGTTTCTATTAAGTTACAAAGTCAAAAATTGGGCACCTTAGATATCTTTCTCTTCCATACTTTCCATCTTAAAACATTTTTTTTGTTCTTCTTCTTTGGTACTAAAGTAAAACTGTATTAAACTTTTGCACTGGAAAAAGTGAATTTATAAAATAGGATTCTTCTCTTGCTTAATGTTTTTAAATTCTTTCTGTTAAGTAATGTTAAAAGTATTATGAGTAGAGATTGAAATATTGGCAATGTAATTAAAAATAAGTATTTCAATAATAACAAAAGCATTATATTTTTAAATATATAGCTCTACTTTAATCTAGAATAGTTTTACAGGGAAACAAGGAGAAGTACAGCATGGTGAAAATAAAAGAATAATGGCAGCCCCAGAGAAGAAAATATAAAGCACTCCTAACTCCACTAATAAAGAGTTAATCTGGCTAATATTTTGTGAATAATCTTCTCTTTACTTTTTGAAAGCTTAGTAGAAAAAATAAAATTTTATCTTAATATTATCAACATTATATACCAGAAATGTTTTCATATTAATAGTTGAAAAATACCCTTTTTTCTAATATATTTTAACTTAACATTTTACCATTAACAACTTCTATAAGCCTCTTTTTAAATATCTAATATTTCACTCTACAGGTATATTATTCACAACTATTTCAATATTGTTAGACATTTACATTATGACATTTTCATTATTATAAATACTATTGTAGTGGATATACACTTGCATAAATACTTTCTATTTTTGGATTACTTAGGATAAATTCTCAGCATTGGAGTTTTTGGATAAGAGTAATCCTGATGCTTGAAAATTAAAAATAGCCTACTGTCTTAGTCCATTCAGGCTGTCATAACAAAATATCATAAATGGAGTGATTTATAAACAAAATTTATTTCTGAAAATTCTGGATTCTGGAAAATAACAGTCAAGGCACTGGCAAATCCGTGTCTGATGAGGACTTGATCTCAGTTCATAGATGGCACCTTTTCACTGTGCCCTCAGATGGTGGAAGGTACAAGGCAGCTCTCTGGGGCCTCTTTTTATTTTATTTTATTATTCTTTAAGTTCTGGGATACATGAGCAGAACGTGCAGGTTTGTTACATAGGTATACACGTGCCATGGTGGTTTGCTGCACCCATCAACCCATCATCTACAATTAGGTATTTCTCCTAATGTTATCCCTCCTCTAATCCCCCACCCCACAACAGGCCTGGTGTGTGATGTTCCCCTCCCTGTGTCCATGTATTCTCATTGTGCAACTCCCACTTATGAGTGAGAACATGCGGTGTTTGGTTTTTTGTTCCTGTGTTAGTTTGCTGAGAATGATGGTTTCCAGCTTCATCCATGTCGCTGCAAAGGACATGAACTCATCCTTTTTTAAGGCTGCATAGTATTCCATGGTGTATATGTGCCACATTTTCTTTATCTAGTATATCATTGATGGGCATTTGGGTTGGTTCCAAGTCTTTGCTATTGTGAACAGTGCTGCAATAAACATACGTGTGCATATATCTTTATAGAAGACTGATTTATAATCCTTTGGGTATATACCCAGTAATGGGATTGCTGGGTCAAATAGTATTTCTGGTTCTAGATCCTTGAGGAATCACCACGCAGTCTTCCACAATGGTTGAGCTAATTTACATTCCCACCAACAGTGTAAAAGTGTTCCTATTTTTCTACGTCCTCTCCAGCATCTGTTGTTTCCTGACTTTTTAATGATTGCCATTCTAACTGGCGTGAGATGGTATCTCATTGTGGTTTTGATTTGCATTTCTCTAATGACCAGTGAGGATAAGCTTTTTTCCATATGTTTGTTGGCCACATAAATGTCTTCTTTTGCATAAATACTTTCTATTTTTGGATTACTTAGGATAAATTCTTAGCATTGGAGTTTTTGGATAAGAGTAATCCTGATGCTTGAAAATTAAAAATAGCCTACTGTCTACTTTTGAGAAGTGTCTGGTCATGTCCTTCACCCACTTTTTGATGTGGTTGTTTGTTTCTTGTAAAATTGTTTAAGTTCCTTGTAGATTCTGGATATTAGCCCTTTGTCAGATGGATAGATTGCAAAAATTTTCTCCCATTCTGTAGGTCGCCTGTTCACGCTGATGATAGTTTCTTTTGTTGTGCAGAAGCTCTTTAGTTTAATTAGATCCCATTTGTCAAATTTGGGTTTTGTTGCCATTGCTTTGGTGTTTTAGTCATGAAGTCTTTGTCTGGGGCCTCTTTTTTAAAAAATGTCTAAACCCAAATTTAATAAGTTGTAGATATAAGCCCAACGCGTGACCGTGGGTAATAACAAATCACAGTTTAGTTATAATTATGAAAATCATGAAATCAGAATGCAAACGAAAGCCTTTATAAGATGAACTTTATCAGTGATGACATGAATATCATCATTAAAGATGGCTTAGTTTTCTTTTTTTTCTTCCTTTTTTTTGAGATGGAGTTTCATTCTTGTTGCCCAGGCTGGAGTGCAATGGCACAATCTCGGCTCACCACAACCTCCACCTCCTGGGTTCAAGCGATTCTCCTGCCTCAGCCTCCTGAGTAGCTGGGCTACAGGCATGTGCCAACATGCCTGGCTAATTTCGTATTTTTACTAGAGACAGAGTTTCTCCATGTTGGTCAGGCTGGTCTCGAACTGCCGAGCTCAGGTGATCCACCCGACTCAGCCTCCCAAAGTGCTGGGATTATAGGCGTGAGCCACCGCACCCGACCTTTTTTCTTTTTTCGAAACAGAATCTTGCTCTGTTGCCACACACTGGAGTGCAGTAGCATGATCTCAGCTCACTGCAACGTCCACCTCACTGGTTCAAGCCATTCTCATGCCTCAGCCTCCCGAGTAGCTGGGATTACGGGCATGTGCCACCATGCCTGACTATTTTTTGTATATTTTGTTGAGATGGAGTTTCACCATGTTGGCCAGGCTGGTCTCAAAGCCTAGGTTTCTATATGTCTCAAGGTTTGCTTTGTATTTAGAATAAATAGTGCAACGAGTGTAAATAACAAACAAATAAAATAACATTGTGCTTCTTAAAAGTTACATATGAAAAGGCCTGAGCGGGGTGGCTCATGCCTATAATCCCAGCACTTTGGGAGGCCAAGGTGGGAGGATCATGAGGTCAGGAGTTTGAGACCAGCCTGGCCAACATGCTGAAACTGTCTCTACTAAAAATACAAAAATTAGCCAGGCATGGTGGCAAGCACCTGTAATCCCAGCTGCTTGGAAGGTAGAGGCAGGAGAATCTCTTGAACCCGGGAGGCAGAGGTTGCAGTGAGCCGAGATCAGGCCACTGCACTCCAGCCTGGGCAACAGGGCGAGACTCAGCCTCAAAAAAAAAAAAAAAAAAAATTATACATGAAAAGAAACACTTTTAAAATTACTAGAGACCTTAATATTTAAAATAAATGTATAGTTTGTCCTTTTCCTTTATAAAGTAAAAAATAATTTACTATTCTGTATTGGTCTGTTTTCATGCTGCTGATAAAGACATATCTGAGACTGGGTAATTTATATAGGAAAAAGGTTTAATTAATAACTTACAGTTCCACGTGACTGGGGAGGCCTCACAATCCTGGCAGAAGGCAAGGAGGAGCAAGTCGCATCTTATGTGGATGGCGGCAGGCAAAAAGAGAGAGCTTATGCAGGGAAAACTCTTGCTTTTAAAACCATCAGATCTCATGAGACTCATTCACTATCATGAGAACAGCATGAGAAAGACCTGCCCCATGATTCAACCACCTCCCACCAGGGTCCTCCCGTGACATGTGGGAATTGTGGGAATTACAATTCAAAATGAGATTTGGGACACAGCCAAACCATATCATATTCCCTCATTTTTAAGGTTTTCTTTTTATTTAAAATGTATATTTTTTCCTATTGTAAATATATTTCTTCTGTTTTACTTTTTTCCATTTTTATTTAGAATTGCGTACAGGTTTGTTACAAAGGTATACTGTATGATGCTGAGGTTTGGAGGAGGAATGAATCTGTAACCCAAGTAGTGAGCGTAGTACGCCAATAGGCAGTTTATTTCAACCCTTAGCACCCTCTCTCCCTCTCCTCTCTTGTATGCCCAGTATCTGTTGTTCCCATTTTTATGTCCATGTTTACCCAATGTTTAGTTCCCACTTATAAGTGAGAACTTGTGATATTTGGTTTTCTGTTTCTTCGTTAGTTCACTTAGGATAATGGTTTCCAGCTGCATCTATGTTGCAGCAGAGGACATTATTTCATTCTTTTTGATGGTGGCATAGTATTCCATGGTATATATGTACCACTTTTGCTTTACCCAGTCCACCATCGATGGCCACTTGGGTTGATTTCATGTCTTTACTATTGTGAATAGCACTGAAATGAACATATAGGTGTATGTGTCTTTTTGCTAGAATAATTTCTTTTCCTTTGGATATATACCTATTAGTGGGACTGCTGGGTTGAATAGTGGTTCAACTCTCACTTCCTTGAGAAATCTCCAAATTGCTCTCCACAGTGGCTGAACTAATTTACATTCCCATTAACAGTGATTAAGTGTTCCCTTTTCTCCTTGGCCTCACCAACATCTGTTATTTTTTGACTTTTTAACAAAAGCTATTCTGACTAGTGTGAGATGGTATTTCACTGTGGTTTTGATATGCATTTCTCTGATGATTGGTGATGATGAGCATTTTTTCATATGTTTGTTGGCATCTTGTATGTCTTCTTTTGAGAAGTATCTGTTCATGTCCTTTGCCCCTTTTTTAATTGTTTATTTGGTTTTTTGCTTGTTGACTTGTTTAAGTTCCTTATAGATTCTGGATAACAGACCTTTGTCAGATGCACAGTTTGTGAATATTTTATCCCTTTCTGTAGGTTGTCTGTTTACTCCCTTGATAGTTTCTTTTGCTGTGTAGAAGTTCTCTAGTTTAATTAGGTCTCATTTGTCAATTTTTGTTTTTGTTGCAATTGCTTTTGAAGACTTGACCATAAATTATCTGCTAAGGTCTGGGACCTCTTTTGTAAGGGCATTAATCCTATTCATGAAGACAGAGCCTTGATCACCTCCCAAAGGCTTCACCTCCTAATACAATTACAGTGGTGATCAAGTGTCAACATATGAATTTGGGGGAACACAAGCATTTAGACCATAGTACATACCAAGTGTTATTTCTCTGTGAAAGTGTAGGAATACTACATGGATAGACACATGGTGAGTATGCAAACGGTCGTAGTCTTTTTAAAGCAATTTGGTAATATATTTCAGGAGCATTCATGCAGGCAATTTCAATCCCAGAAAACAATCAGATATGTAGAGCAAACTTAAGTGCAAAGTTGTTTATTACAAATTGTGTAACAGTAAAAACTGAACACCAATTTATTATCTCCATGTGAGTGTGGTTAATTAAATAATGGTGCATTCATATAAGAAAATATTATACAGTTTTAACATTTGAGGACAATTTTAATTACATAATGATAAATGGAAAAAGAAAACAGGATCAATTAATTGATTAAAACCATGCCTTTTACAAAAAGTATTACAAATAGTTTATAAGGATTCATAAATTTACTCTGAGAGAAAAAAATATATGTGGAGGTACAGAAATGAATTCAGAACAAGGATCAGAAAACAAATTTCAAGACTGCAAATATACTTTTTGCTGAGGAGCTACATCTCTTATTCTATACTTACTACATCTCTTATTCTATTACATCTCTTATTCTTATTACATCTCTTATTACATCTCTTATTCTATAAAAAGAAAATCAGATCAATAGTTAAGTAGGTCAGCCCCATCCACAACATAAAAACAATGACTTATGTAGGAGAAATGTTCATTTTTAGTACCAAAATTAGCAAGAAATATGTCAATAGGCTCCTCATAATAGAATATCGTATAATAGGATAAGCAACATCCTCTACAGTGAACTTCATGAGACAATAATGAGTTTCAGTGCCCTCTTTTAATATTTATATATGGCTAATTATATGACACTGACATTATTGCAAAACATGTTTATTAAAATTATTTCTCCATGGGCATTTATAATTTGGTTCTTATAGCAGATTTTTGCTAATGTAGGGGAATGGAGGAATATTTTATATATTTTAGGATACCTGTAAGAACAGATGTGCCCTGTAAGCAGTTATCTCCAAATCAAGTTCTTGATAACTATTGGCTGACAATAAAATATTGTCCAAAGTTTATGAAATGTGACCTTATTATCTCTTTTATAAAATGTATGTATTTTTGCATAAAACGCACCAATGCATAAACAGACTGAAGAAATCATAAAAAAAGGTTTCTATTGCCAGAAGACTCTGTGAGGTGCTGGGTCTTTCAGAAGTCTTAACAGGAGTGGTATACTCATACCCATCATTTGGCTTTTTCCTTTAAGCCATGTTTTCTTGTCAGCACCCTGGATTTTGTCTTTTTTTCCTATGGCCATTTCCTACATCGAGACTCTTTGACCAGCTAGAGATACTGTCTTAGGGCTGATGGAGTTTCTCAAAATTCTAAAAATGGAACAGTTTCTTTTTTAGGTCACGTTGCTCTTGTACTACCTTAACATATGCACAAATAAAAGAAGCCAATTAATACATTCAGCATTTGGCCTGAAAACCTCCTTAGCTAGGGCCACAAGTTCACCAAGAATGTTCTCTACATTCCAAGTTGCCGCAGTCGATAGTCTTGTTAATTTTTCCAGCACCGTTTAATAAGCATTTACCTTTCTCTAGCCTCTAATAGCAATTTTTTTCCCCTGTTCGTCAAGCTCTTACTAATAGTTTCCTCACTGGCTGCGCAGACTCTGCCTGGTTCCAATACTAATACCCAAAACATATTTTAGGTTTTTGTTGCAGCAACACCCAATTTCTAGTATCAATGACTGTTCGAGGTATCTATTGCTTCATACCAAACCCAATCCAAATGTTTTTAGTTTAAAACAACAACTTTTTCAGATTCTGCAAGTGGGCAATGCTCGGCAGAAAAGCTCTGTCTCTGTTCCACTTGGTGTTGGATGCTACAATTTAGTGAAGCTGCAGTATCCTAGAGAGCTTTACTGACAAGACAGGTGCCTAAGTTGGGCTAGCTAGAATAGCCGATGGCTGATTGAGTCTCTTGTTTTCTCTTCTCAGTCTTGTATC
The DNA here is from genome assembly GCF_000001405.40 of Homo sapiens. Classification (NCBI taxonomy): domain Eukaryota; kingdom Metazoa; phylum Chordata; class Mammalia; order Primates; family Hominidae; genus Homo; species Homo sapiens. The sequence goes on from NC_000004.12 coordinate 85,949,555, forward strand.
CTTCAGGGCTCCTCCCTATAGCTGATGGTTGAAACTCTTTACACCGTGGCTCAGTACTGAAAGACAGTAAGGGTGGAAGCTACAAGACCTTTAAGGAGTAGGCCCAGAACTGGTGCGATGTCACATCCACTGCATACTCTTGGTCAATGGCAAATCACAAGACCAATTCAGCTTAAAAAGGGGAGAAAGCTGACTCTACTTCTTGATAGAAGTAATGTTATAGATATATAAGGATGAGAGAAACTATCAACAGTCACGTCTGTGAACAATCTACCTTATTCACTCATTCAACAAATAATTTTGGAATGTTAACTATTTCTTAGACACTGTTCTGGATGAAAGAGACAAGGTGCATTCTCTTCTGGGGTTTGCCTTACAAGTCATGGGCAGATAAACAATAAACAGCAAATATATAAATAATTTTGAAAAGTAATGAGGGTGACATGCTAATATGCTAGTGAGTAAAGTGGTGGAGATACCCGTCTCCTTCTTGAGGACGTAACATTTGAGTTGAGATTCGAATGACAAGAGGCCTGTTACACCTATGATATGGTGGAGGTATAACAGGCATGTTGCAGGTAGAAGAATAGCAAGTGCAAAGTCCTAGAGACAGGAACAGCTTAGCTTGCTTGAAGAACATAAAGAAGGCCACTGGGGGCAAGACACAGTGGCTTATGCCTGTAATCCCAGCACTTTGGGAGGCCGAAGTGGGAGGATCCCTTAAGGGTAAGAGTTCCAGACCTGACTGGACAATAAAGTGAGACTGTCTCTACAAAAAAAAAATCAAATTAAAAAACTAGCTGCCTTTGGTGGTGCACAGTGGTAATCCTAGCAACTCAGGAGGCTGAGGCAGGAGGATCACTTGAGCCCAGGAGTTTGAGGCTGCAATGAGTTATGATCATACTGCTGGCACTTCAGCCTCGGTGGCAGAGCAAGACCTTTCTCTAAAAAATAAAAAATTAAAATTAAATATAAAAGGAAGGAGGTCACTGTGACAGGAATGCAGTGAATGATGATGAATAGTGTCCACGGAGGTTGATTCTGTATAACTTGGCAGATTATAATAATTTTTTTTCTTTTTCTTTTTCTTTTACTTTTATTTTTTCTTTTTCTTCTTTTTTCTTTTTTCTTTTTTTTTTAAGAGTCTCCCTCTGTCACCCAGGCCAGAGTGCAGTGGTGCAATCTTGGCTCACTGCAACCTCTGTCCCTGGGTTCAAGCGATTCTCCTGCCTCAGCCTCCCAAGTGGCTGAGATTACAGGTGCATGCCACCATACCTGGCTAATTTTTGTATTTTATTTTTTTTAGTAGAGACAGGGTTTTGCCATGTTGGCTAGGCTGGTCTTGAACTCCTGACCTCAGGTGATCCACCCACCTCGGCCTCCCAAAGTGCTAGGATTAACAGGTGTGCACCACCACACCTGGCCTATAATAAGAAATTTAGTTCTTATTCTAAGTGAAATGGAAATCTGTCAAAATATTTTTAGCAAGTAAATGAAATAATTTTATTTATATGTTAAAAAGGTCATTCTGGCAACCGAAATATCCTTTTGATAAATTGTCAAGCTTGAATCCCTTGGTCTCCGGTGGCAGATATGCAAAATCCTGGATTCTGCTGATTCAAAGAAGGGGTTCCCAGATCCATGAATGGTGAGGTAATAAGAAGAGAATAACATATTTGTGGCAAAATGTAATTGTGAGATACACAGGGAGGGGAAAGAAAATCCATAATTTCCCAGAGGATGGTGAGGTTATTTTCAGAAACTTGTCCAAGCAGAGTGTTCTGCCCCTATGTGTTTTTTTTTTAGTTAATTGGCTGTTTGATCTTTCACATGGTCAAGGCCTAGCTCAACTTTAGTCATTGGGATGTGGAGACAAACTGCCAGGGAACGTTCGTTAGTTCAAGTTTATCTCACCCAGGTTCTTTAATCCTTCCCCTGTTGTTTTCAATGTTTTGTACATATCTGCCCTCTTCTGAAGAGCATCTGTGTTCTTAAATATGCCTGTGCTTTTGAAGCTATGGATCCGTTTGGGGTCCATAGCCTCAAAATGATAAAAATACAGACTGTGCATAATGCTTTGAATAGATATTAAGTTGTAAATACAGAAATGTTTCCTTGTGAAACATTTTAAAGAGTAAGAATGAATAAATATTTTCCCTGTTGATTCTAATAATGCTTATTTCTCACCAAAGAGTCAATAAGATTCAGGTTTTGTCTTTGTTAAAATATATTTATTAAAACCTAGAAAGAAGTTCCCACAGGTATTCTGCAAAGACAATCTCTAGTCACTGACATTGTACCTCTAATGTTAAGCCCTGAAATTTAATTTTTAAATAGCATTTTAAAAATCATAAAGTTATTAAGTTTAATTTGATATCATAAAGTTATTAAGTTTAATTTGAATATTATTTAATTTAATACCATAAAGTTATTAAGTTTAATTTCAATATTATTAAAGTTATATTTTGATTATAACGTTTTATGTACAATTTAGAATATGGAAGAATACAAGAAGGAAATATGAATATTTTAAAATTCGACACTCCAGAGAGCTCTTTCTATACATAGCAGATAAATAAATAGATAAGCAGAGATTTAGATGTGTCAAAATTCAGCTATGTATAAAATATATCGGAACCATACAGCTTTTATATCTTACTTTTTCTCCTTCACATTATATCATGGACATTTTCCCATGTCATTAAGTAGTTTTCACTGTGTGTGATCTTCAGGACTATATAATGTGTGATCTTAAGGACTATGTAATAATTCATTGTATCAGTACATTGGTTTCTTTAATTCTGCCCCATTTGTTTTCAATGTTTTGCACATATCTGTCCTCAGCTGAAGAGCATGTATTCATACATCTGCCTGTGCTTTGGAAGCTATGGATCCATTTGGGATTTGGAAGATAATATTTCACATTTGAATGAGAAGAAACACTTTGTCCTGTGTGAGGGAAAAACAGAAAAGGTGGTGTGAGAAAAAAACATTTGAAATTCATACGCTATTGGAATTTGGAGTAGTTGTGAGTGCATGGATGAGCCTTTATTAAGCCATGTACTTTCTGCTCTTCTTTAATTATACTGTATACTCTTTTTTCCAGTTCTGAAGTTCAAGTTTGATACTTTTATATAGGCATGACTCATTGTTCCTACGGTTATGACATATTCCCACATACTCCTTGGCCAGTGAATTTTGTGAGAAAGGGCGTTCTCATTGACCTGAAAGAATTTGTATTCTTTCAGTTCCTGTCAACTGTAAAAACAAACAAACAAAAGAAAACAGATATCATAGTTTCTAACCATTCTTGTCTTTATTCTTTCTATTTAGAAATGAAAACAAATTAAAACATAACTTTTTATATTAAACTTCCAAGTTTTGAGGGGACAAAAATGAAATCTAGAATGTGTAAAATCAAATTAGATATTGAATATTATTTTGTTACCAAAGCCCTCCAGATGGTATCAGCTGTTCAAGAAGATACATTTTGGAAGCGTTGGGAAGGTAGGGTCAAGAATGGCAGTGTGGTCACCATCCTAGCATTAACTGCTGGGCAACAGAATACGCTCTTAACAACACAGTGTTCAGGAGCAAGGACAGAGGCTTCATGAAGCCAGTAATTTTACACATTCTGTCCAAGAATCCTGTAAAACAACTGCTGTTTCAGGTCCCCCAGCTGCCCACCCACATACTCAGTTCACACTTCCCTTGTTCCTCTTTCTGCTATTCTCCCCTTTCACTTATTTTTCAAATTTGTTTTGGTGACTAAATAAACTGCAAGTCCACAGAGATAAAATGAAAAAATAAAAGCCTAAAATTTAGGAGACAGAAAAGCCAGACATATTTTAATTTAATCCTCTGGGAAGGAATTTAGGTCTGGGAATTACTGAACTGAGTTATGAAAAAGTGAACTTGAAAGTAGGGAGTACTACAGACATAGGAGAGATTTTTCAGTATCAGTATGTGTAAGAATGACTTAGAGAAATACCTTAAGATTCAGAAACCCAGACCCCACTTGCTCTCATTCTGATTTAAATGGTTGGAGAATGCCTAGGAATCTGCATGGTAAATCCACAGGCGATTTTTTTTTTTTTAATCTGCCTGTGCTGCCCAGAGGCAGGAACCCTGTCCTCTTAGTCATGGATTTATCATCTGCACCCAGCAGAGAGACTGGCAGAGAGCAGGCACGAGGTCAGGGCAGAGGGAGACTCATAGGCACTAGTGCAATTATTATAAGCATAAAGATGTTGAAATGAGGAGAGTGTCCAATGTGGAGGGGAGAATGAGATCTGGATTCCAAGGGAAGACAGGAGAAGGTGCTGTAAGGAGACGTAAATAAGCCCGTCCTCCAAGGCAAAAAGCTGGGGCCAGTGAGGCAACAGAGATCACTCTGACTGAGAGTTGGTTACAGGGATCAGAGGAAAGGAAGAGGAAACAGTGGAGGGCTCTGAAATCTGGTCTGTTCAGTCTAGGCTCTTGTTTTTGACAGAGCATATGTGCACTTTGCAATCAGAGATTGGAAAACCCATTTGACCACCATTGCATTAAAACAAATGAGCTGCCCCAAACATAACAAGAAAAAAAGATGTTTTGTTTAGGGCAGAAAAATCCATCATCTGCTGCTGCAAATTAAAATACAGGAGGTAGTTAGTAGATAAAATGTTCATCCTTTAAGGAAGAATAGTAACTTTATCAATAATAACCTACCTTGTGCTGGATACTATCCTGATTATTTCATTTAATCCTCAACTTCCTGAAGCTTCTATCTAAGATTACTCTGTTTATTCCCTTCAAGGCATTTGAGCTCCTTTAGTAGTTATCTTGTTTGTTTGTTTCTTTACTGCTTATCATCTGCCTTCCCCATGCCAATTTAAGCTCCTTGAGGGCAGGATCCTTACCTGTCCTGATGCTACACCCCTCTCTGAGCACAACAGCTGGCGTATAGTATGCACCAAACATTTATCAAGAGAATATCCTAATACCTACTTGTTTTACAAATGAAGATCCTTGCTCGTGCTCCCTTCGGCAGCACATATACTAAAATTGGAAGATCCTTGCTTGTTTTAATTTGTTCTAGCTTAGTATTTAAAATGCTCGGCAGCACATATACTAAAATTGGAAGATCCTTGCTTGTTTTAATTTGTTCTAGCTTAGTATTTAAAATGTTTGGCCGGGTGCAGTGTCTCACGCCTGTAATCCCAGCACTTTGGGAGGCCAAGGCGGGTGTATCACCTGAGGTCGGGAGTTCAAGACCAGCCTGGCCAACATGGAGAAACCCTGTCTCTACTAAAAAATACAAAAAATTAGCTGGGTGTGGTGGCGCATGCCTGTAATCCCAGCTCCTCAGGAGGCTGAGGCAGGAGAATCACTTGAACCCAGGAGGCGGAGGTTGCGGTGAGCCGAGATTGTGCCATTGCACTCCAGCCTGGGCAAAAAGAGTGAAACTCTGTCTCAAAAATAAATAAATAAATAAATAATAAAATGTTTGAGTGTTTGTACTGAGGCAGTGCTACACATTCTCATGGCTTTGCTGCTGCTGTTCAGTAGTAGAAGGGCTGCTCTCGGCCCAGAGCCCAGATCTCTTTCTAAACAGCAGAACCTGTCCCTTTTCTGTTTTAAAATCCAAGTCCCTATACATGACTATTTGAATAAGCCCATGCTCCCCCCGCCTACCCCCCACCCCGACCCTCAGCATGTGCTCCTTTCCAGTTGGAAGAGCCTAACAAATTCACCCAATTCCCCTTCCTTCTGGAGTTTTCCATGATCCCTGTATTATTTTCCTAGGGTTGCCATAAAAAAGCATTGCAAACTGGGTAGCTAAAAACAAAACAAAACAAAACAAAAACTGTAACTTATTATCTCATATTTCTGGAAGCTGAAAATCCAAATCAAGATGTCAGCAGAGCCATGCTCTCTCTGAAGGATTTAGGGAAGTATCTGTTTCATGCCTGTCTCTTAAATTCCGATATTTGCCAGCAACCCTTGTCGTTCCTTGGCTTGTAGCTACATAACTCCAACCTCTGCCCCCATCTCCACATGGCATTCATCTCCCAGGTAATTCTTATATGCATGGTCCTAAAACCATAACTTGGGAAATACTAGCTAGACTATCAGCTGCAGGAGTGTATGGTAAAGGACATTGATCATTAGAATTGATGTAACTCTGTTTCTTATATATGAAATGGGGAAAGGATAGCAGCAGAATCAACATCACACCATTACTGGGAGCAACATATCAGTTCTGACTGGGCTAGGCAAACCATATGCTATTGTGAGATAAACTATTTTCTGGGGTATAGAGTTGATGTGTAAAATACATGATTTCCTTCCTGCTGAATAGGGCCTGAAGTTTCAAGACAGCCTGAAAGATACACCCCTCCCTCTTTACACTTTATTCCATGCAAAAACTCAAACTCTAAAGATTTCAGTAGCAAACTGTACAGTTATAGAGCCTCAATATCATAGTGTGAATAAAAGATCTTAGGGCAGGGCTTGATGGAAGAAAGTGGAGAAAGCAAATGGTAGCTTGAGGGCATGTGAACCAGTAAAAGGGAGGAATTTACATTCTTAAAGAGTTGGAAAAGCAAAGAACTGACTCCCAGGAATTTGCCTAAGGCAAGCCCTGTGTGTGTAAATGGTAAACTGGCTACCTATTTTCAGCACACTAAATGATTTTCTGAAGTCAAGGAGAGGGGCTAGCCCCTAAAATCCTGAATAGCTGTTTATTTACAGTAACTCTTAACGTTCCTATTTTTTGATGCATTTCTTAAAGGTATGATGGTGTGACAAAATTTGATAACTATTGTCTTTAAGTATTTCTCAAACTTCTCTCATTCACATACTACCCTTGTTACCCGGGGGTTCTTGCTCCCAGAGCTCCCAAGATGGAGGTGGGCCGCTTCCAAAATGGTGGCGGGCCACTTTGAAGATGGTGGCAAGCCTTGTGCTCTCTGACCTGGGGTTCTTGGCCTCACGGATTCCAAGGAATGGAATCTTGGTCCATGCAGTCAGTGTTATAGCTCTATTAGAAGCCGTGGGTCATAGCTCTATTAGAAGCCGTGGGTCATGGAAGAGAACCGTGGAACCCAGTGACTAGTGTTCAGCTCCATTAGGAGGAACCCACTTAGCGATGCAGAACAATGGCAAGCCTTTAGCCCGATCGGGAGGGGCAATGGACGCCTCGCTGAATCAGGAGCACAGCCGACACCCAGCCAGGGTGGAAGTCAGCGGCAGGCAGCAAAAAGCAGTGGTGGATGGCGAGTGAAAACTCAGCTCCAGCCCTAACAAACACGGACCAGAAGAGAGTGCAGTTGCAAGATTTAATAGAGTGAAAACAGAGCTCCCATACAAAGGGAGGGGACCCAAAGAGGGTAGCTGTTGCTGGCTCAAATGCCTGGGTTTATATCCCGATCATAGTCCCTCCCGCTGTGCTCTCAGGCGGTAGATGATTGGCTATTTCTTTACCTCCTGTTTTTGCCTAATTAGTATTTTAGTGAGCTTTCTTTACTATCTGATTGGTCAGGTGTGAGCTAAGTTGCAAGCCGCTTGTTTAAAGGTGGATGCAGTCACCTTCCCAGCTATGCTTAGGGATTCTTAGTCAGCCTAGGAAATCCAGCTAGTCCTGTCTCTCACCCTCATGATTTTAGCCATTTCCATATAACGCCTGCACTAGGTTTACTGATATTTTTCTTTAAATGTATTCACAGTTTTCTTTATCAGTTTTGGGGTAAAAGGGAATTTATATATTATTGCTCTTTGAAAACCAGCACTACTTGCATAAACACGAGGTCAATGTAACATAAGCACAATGACAAGAACATGTTATTAAATGTCCCTGGACACAGCTTCTTTCTGAAGATGCTGACCCTAAGGCCCTCTGTTGATTTGATGAAAATGGAGATTGGCATGTGCTGGTACCATTTTAACATGCCTCTTTTTCCCAACTGATGCTTCCTCTTTGATGTAATCAGGAGAATTGAAATTTAGAAATTAGTATTTCTGTTAAGTTATTTGAAGTCAATATCCTGTTTCTGTGGCACCTTAAATTACTTGGAATAACCCACACTTTGGGAAATACAGTCAGGTCACTCTTTGCTAACACTGGGAGGCCTCTTTCCTTTAAATGCTTGGCTTCTTCTCTAATTTGAACAAAGAATAACTCACAAGAGTTCCATGAAACTGCTTTATAAACACACCAAAGTCTGAAAAATAACAGGCTTTAAGGAAAAATATCTCATATGTGAGAAATACCTCCATGAATGGGTATTAACTAAATATTTTATGTGGGACAGGGTGTAAACTAGAAATCTGTCATGTTGCATCATGTTTTACTCTGTGATATATCTAAAAAGCCCATGCATCTAGAATTGGGAGTATGAGCTTTGCTTTCCTTTCAATTTATCTTTGCAGAATTTTGGCTCACTTCCACTGAAACCCAATGGGGTTATAAATAAAAGTGCCCAATTAACCAATAAGTTTTTCATTATTGGGCATATCTATCAGTTGGTGTTTGTCTACTTATTTGCAAGAACGTAGTGTGGAAGTTAAAAGTTCAGGCTTCCATGACAGAAAAATGTGGGACTAAATCTGCCACTTACTACCCATGTTAATGAACCGAAACTCGTTACCTAACTTCTCAAAACTAATTTCCTCATATAAAATAGAAATCATAATGTCTAATCTCACAGGGTTGTTGTATTCATTCACTTAAAAATAAGACAAAATGGAACAAAAACACCTGGAATATGTAAGTGAAATTGCACAGGCCCTGGCATGTTATGGGGCACTTTTTATTGTCATTGTGAGTATGATGATGGGGATAATGATGGTATTGATGATTGTCACTAACATTTTATGGTATAAGGAAAAGTAATATGCTTGAATCTATGTGATACAGAGACTAGTATTTCACCAGAAACTCTTCAGTATGTTTAATCCAGGAAGTCTTCATTCATGGTTTGAAACCTCTAAGATAATTCCTACTGAAAATAAGTAAGATACCTATAAGATTTTATATTATGAAAGTGTGTTTTTTCTGTGTTTTATGACTCAGATTGTAAATTTTCTTGCATGAAAGCATATCCCTTAAAGTCATGTTTTTGAAATAAAAGGAATCATGTTTTACATTTCATAATTCACTCATTTCAAGGGTACAATCCTAGTGATTTTTAGCAAATTTACCAAGTCATGCAACCATTACCATAAATCAATTTGAGAACATTTTTATCACCCCAATAAGATTTCTTATGCCCATTTACTGTTATCCTCAGCTCCTCTTCCTTCCCAGGCAACCACTAATCTGATTTCTGTCTCTATAGATTTTTCCTTTTCTGGAAATTCTTATAAATGGAATCATTCACTGTTCTTTTGCATCCAGCTTTCACTTAACATAATGTTTTTGAGGTTCATCTGTTATGGGAAAAGGGTCCAGAGGGTTCTTGGATCTCCTGCAAGAAAGGATTCAGGGCGAGTCCGTAGAGTAAAGTGACAGCAAGTTTATTAGGAAAGTAATGGAATAAAAAGAATGGCCACTCCATAGACAGAGCAGCCCCGACGGCTGCTGGTTGCTGATTTTTATGGTTATTTCTTGATGATATGCTAAACAAGCGATGGATTATTCATGCCTCCCCTTTTTAGACCATATAGGGTAACTTCCTGACATTGCCATGGCATCTGTAAACTGTCATGGCGCTGGTGGGAGCGTAGCAGTGAGGATGACCAGAGGTCAGTCTCATTGCCATGTTGGTTTTGAGGGGGTTTGGTTGGCCTCTTTACTACAACCTGTTTCATCAGCAGGGTCTTTATGACCTGGATCTTGTGCTGACCTCTCATATCTTATCCTGTGACTTAGAATGCCTTAACCATCTGGGAATGCAGTCCAGTAACTTGCAGCCTCGTTTTACCCAGCCCCTATTCTAGATGGAGTTGCTATGGTTCACATGCCTCTGACACATCCATGTCATAACATATATCAGTAGTTTTTCCCTTTTATTGAAGAGTTGAATTTCATTTTGTGGATATACTACATTTTGTTTATTCATCCGTCAGTTGGTAGACATTGACGTTGTTTCTACTTTTTGGCTATTATCAATAAGATTTCCGTGATTCGTGTACAAGCTTTTGTGTAGAGATATGTTTAATTTCCTTTGGGACTATTCCTAGAAGTGGAATTGCTGGGTCATATCTATGTTTAACATTTGAGGAACTGTTAAACTGCTTTCCAAAAAGGCGGAACCATCTGATATTTCCAACAGCAATGTATGAGGGTTATGACTTTTTATTCTACCCATTCTAGTGAATATGAAATGGCCTTTTATTTTAGTTTTTGACATGCAATTTCCAAGTGACTAGTGATGTTCAACCTTTTTTTCATGTGATTATGGCTATTTTTTACTTTTTATGAGCCATTCTAAAAAGTAACCAGAGGCTTAGTTACTGAATCTCTAACTCATAGTGTAAGACAGAAATTAAAAGGATTTTCTGGTGTATCCAGTTAAGTCAGCAAGTTGTTGCCAAAATCAATCAAGTCCGCACAAAACTTGTTCCTTCTCTGAATACTTCAACAATCTTATATTCCAACATAGAAGTATTCTTAACATATTGCACTTGATGATACCACCCTTATCATTAATATGTATATATAAATTGAGGGGAACAGATAAAAAGTTTTAAAAGAATTCAAGTTACTCTTTAGAAGGCGGTTTTAAAATATTTTATTTTCCTGATTCTTTTGATAATCCGTGTTAAGGAAATGGTTACAGAGTCTCTAAGGAATTAATAGTAATGTTCTGGGAATATCAGTTTAGTGTTGAGATAAATGTCTGTGATATCATGGGAACACACATTTACATACCCAAGAGGACATCACTGTGGATATTCATTGAAAACTCTGTGTTCATAAAGTAAAACACATAGAACTAGAAGATGAACTCAAAGAAGGTGGAGGATTTTGTGAATCTTAATTATCTTTTTTATCTCTAATGCCTAGAATAATGTCTGATATAATGTAGGCATTCAATAAATATTCGATGAATAAGTCAACACTAGGAGTGTATTTTGAATGTCATTGTTGAATGAAAAAATACCCATATTTCTGATATCTCAGGAAGTAGAAAACTCAAGTGCTTGTTTCTATAGATTAGAATTTAGGAAACTTGAAAATTATCATGTTGCAAAATAATTTCTAAACTTTTGTTGGAATTTAATTTTTGTCATCTAAGGCCAAATGCCTGCCTGGGTCAGTGTACAAAGTCATAGTCCTATCTATGAATGGGTTCAAAATTTCATAAAAACCACAGTTCTAAGTCAGGACCAGTACCTTTATTTGTTTTCTGCTCCTGAAATGCTGTCATGAATATCGATGCACTATACTTCCAAAGTAAACTAGATTTTGATTTATAACAAAGCAATAATAACAAGAACCAAACCAGAATAAAACAAAAAACTTGCCTCTTCTCAATAAATTTGTTTCATCACTCTCTTTCCTCACTCTGACCCCTCTTACAAAGTAGTCCAAACAGAAAACACTAATATAAGAAACATCTGACATGTAGTGACAAAGGATCCCTTCTAGCAAAGCACACGACTGCATTTTAATGTGAGAGCCATAGGAAAGACACAACTGGATTCTTTTAAAGCTTTTTATGTGTTCCCCTCAATTTATACATACATATTAATAAACTAAGGTGGTATCGTCCAGTCCAGTACACTAAGAATACTTCCATGTTGGAATAAAAGATTGTTGAAGTAAAAGGGACAAGTTTTGTGTGGACTTGAATGATTTTGGCAATAACTTGTTGACTCAACTGGATATACAAGAAAATCTTTTTAATATTCCTCTTACACTATGAGTTAGAGATTCAGCTGCGTAAAACTAGGCTTCTAGTTACTCATTTCTTGCATGAAGCACAAGGATTTGTTTACTTTATTTATTTTTATTGGAAGAAAATATATTTTCTAGAAAAGAATATATGTGTTTTTTCATTGTTCATCCCGGAATTAGATAATCATAATTCTCTAAACTTGTGGTGAATATGGCAGGAAATGAGTGACATGCAGTAAAGTCATTGTTGGGGACACATTAATAAGTTACTTTCTAGCCTTCATTAGCTAGAAAATTATTTGCGATGTTTGGCCATATTTTATTTTTTATTTAAAAATGGAAATATTAAAGTATATATAATATGGCTTTTAAATGCTGTTAGAAAATATACACACACATATGCACACGTGCATACACACACACACATATTTAAGCATAAATGTACCCCTCAGCATGAAAACACCGATAATACTTCTCTTGGGAAGTCCTTGGTTACATAATCTAAAGTCTCTCCGATTATGAGAAAAATTGTTGAATGTATTATGAAGATTACATTTCCTTTGTTTCTTCTGAAACTCCATCTGCAGAGCTTAGCGAAGGGAAAAACATGTAGGCAGGCAGAATACAATGGTGAAGTAACTAAGTACAGCCAAAACTTCTCTATTTTTGCTATGTCAGTTCATTAACAGTTTGCCAAAACTTTTAAGACCATGTGAAACTGAAATTACACCCATTGTGCTTCAAGCCCTAGGTCCGACTGAAGCAAGAAAGGGCTGTGTGATGAAGTCTCAGGCGTACATTAATACATTTACTAATAATGGAAAGACATGAAAATTGGAACAGCTATGTAAACTCTCAATGAAAAAATACTATTAAGTGTTTGTGTATCAGGAATCAAAGGTTAGGAAAATAGTGTACCCAGCTTAGCAAAAAATCAAAACTCATTATCTATAGAATCTAATGAGATAACTGCATCATTATAGTGCACCTAGAGATTGTGCATTATTTCATTCCATTCTTTTTATTTCTGAGTCATTCCTGGGAGAAATGTGAGGTGAGAAAGAAGCTCACCTCTCTCAAACTAGTCGTGTAATCTATTGTATGGTGGATATTATAGTATATAGTATAGGTGCTATTTGTTAAGTGTAACATTAAAATTTCTACAAATGTGTTTTCTTGTTGTGTCTCTTACAGTGAGTAGGTTATATCCACCTGAAAATAGGTCACCTGAATTGGCAATATCTACCAATCTTTTAAATCATTCTTGCATTCCTTAGTATTTATGTTATACTTTGTGAATTTAGGAAGTCATGTTCCACAGAGTAGTCAGAGAAGGAGTTAATGTGTGGATGTTACTTCATTATGACTCCCAATCTAGATCTAGAATGCCCATGTTTATTAAAAGTCTTAAGCAAACTAACTACTTTGTCCACTGGTAACTACAGATACTCTGTGGGACCTCAAGGCTTTAGCTTTCTCCTGGGACAATTAAAAATCAATGTAATGAAGATCTACTGACACTGAGAAGAGAACAACATCCCACAGGAGCTTTGATTTTTTTTTTCATACCATAAAACTGATTGGATATGTTTAAAATAATTCTACAAAGAACAAAATATATATGTATCTGTATGTATGTACATTTATGTGTGTGTAATATGTGTATGTACACACATTTACAATAGAATCTCTGTAGTTTGCAAACTATCATATCTTTATCATTGTTTACTTTCAAATGTCAATACTTGTTCTAAATAATTATATAGATCATTGATATGACTAGAATCTTAGTTTAATAGAAAAGTCTTTGTGGGCTCATTGACTTTAGATTTAATCACTTTGGGAGAAAGTTAATGGGTTTTTTTGTAAGTTTGGGAAATACTAGTGTCATTTGCAGTATGAGATGTATTGTGTGCATTTGAATGTTACTTCTAAGTTAAATTTGGATATAAGATTGAATCTTGGGTCTAAAATCAGTAAAGCTGAAGGGACATACTGAGTCATTTTAATAACTGTGTTGATTTATTTTGTAACTGACAGCACTTAAGGTTTTAATTAGGTTTTGTTATTATTGGAACTGAATGCATATGTTGTACAAAATAGCCTGTTTAAAAGAGTTTTATTCTGATGTAATTATTGCTTTAAGGAAACTTTTCTGAATGTTCTACATTAAGCCTTATAAGTGTCTCGATCCTGCTAACCTTTCTTTTTTGGTTAAAACACCTTGGTACTATAATAGAAAATGTCAGAATTTATTTTTATTCTTTAGTCTAAATTTTTAATTTACATAGGCACATTATTCTAAAGTGAATTGATGCTCTCAAACATATTAATTCAAACTAAATGACAACTCTAATGACTAATTTATAAAATAAGTGTTTTTTGTGGGATACATATTTGTTTATTTATGCTTAAACAATTGCCCTTTGCATTCAAATATCGTATTCAAAAGCTATACAACAATTCATTTTGTTTGTTATTTATATTTAGTACTGATGATTACCACTTATATATGTTTTTTTTCAACTTTTTTTTATTATACTTTAAGTTTTAGGGTACATGTGCACAACGTGCAGGTTAGTTAGGTATGTATTCATGTGCTAGGAGGACAGGCTTGATATCAGGAAGACCAGTTAATATGGTATTGTGTTAGTGGAGGTGAGTAATATAAACTTGAACTTAAGCATTGTCAGTAAGACTGCCAAAGAAAGTATGGATTCATAAGCTGTTATGTCAGAATATATATGAACCAGGCATTTGTATTTCTTTTTAAACTTCCCAGGTAATTCCAACATACTGCTCAGTCAGAGAATCACCAATCACTGTTAGATTTAGAGTCCTGGGGACAGTCAAATTTAGTTTGACTTCTAGGTTTCTTGCTTGTTTGTGTAAATGGTGAGGCCATCCACTGTGAAAAAAAAATGCTAAAAGAGAAACAATTTTACACAAGGGGAGATTTTTCTGTTGTTGCCAGTCAATTTTGTTCACATGAAGTTCAAATATGTATGAAACATCTAAAAATTCAGTGGAAAGGTCTGATGCAGTGATAGATATTATGTAGTCTTGTAGCAAAGTGATAGTGGAACTCATGGATTAATACAAAGAGTGTGCAGGTTATCCAGGAAAACAACACCACTTAGAGGCCAGCAGAGGAAGAAGAGCTTGGGAGCTAACTAGTAAGGAATGGTGGTCAGAGAAGAGGCAAGGAGGTGGAAGGGAAAGGCAAGTAAGGTGTCAAAGAAACATTGAAATAGAGACTTACTCATGGGAAATATTAGTCAGAGATAGAAAATTAATAAATATCCATAATTTTTTTCAGTTTAGGGAGTTAGCTACTTTCTTTTTGAGGAGTCTGTTGTTTAGAAGCACCAAACTGGGATTGCTCAAAGTAATCTCTATCTTACAGCTATACTACAAGGTATTTTATTTTTATTTGTTTATTATTGAGTATCTTATATACGTAAAGAGAGTGATTTGTGTATACGTGTGTGTGTGTGTGTACTCACATGCATGCGCTTGCACATATGGGATGTTGGAGTGAATGTATATTAAACTGTCAAATATTCTTTGTACATGATAAACTAGCATTGAAAGGGAGGAGTCTCTACACACATGCCTCTATACACAGAAGAAATTCTAGAGGGAGGAAAGAAAAGATCAATGTGACAGTTTGGTAAAGCTGGGCACTATATTAGTCTGTTTTCATGCTACTGATAAAGACATACCGGAGACTGCGCAATTCACAAAAGAAAGAGGTTTCATGGAGAACTCACAGTTCCACATGGCTGGGGAAGCCTCACAATCATGGTGGAAGGCAAGGAGGAGCAAGTCACATCTTACATGGATGGCAGCAGGCAAAGAGAGAGCTTGGGCAGGCAGACTCCCCATTTTTAAAACCATCAGATCTCATGAGTCCCATTCACTATCATGAGAACAGCACAGGAAAGACCAGCCCCCATGATTCGATCATCTCACACTGGGTCCCTCCCACAACACGTGGGAATTATGAGAGCTACAAGATGAGATTTGAGTGGGGACACAGAGCCAAATCATATCAGGCACTATGTCCCCACCAACGTTCTTTCCACCACGTCTTCCACTGGGGAATACTGGAAAGACAAATATGTAACTAGTAGGCTCCCATGGATGTTAGAAATGTTCAGATTTAAACTCGTGACCATTACACATTGGAACTCCCTCCTTTCTTTGGAATTCCCTCCTTTGGAATTTTCCACTCCAAATACATGTTCTGTATCAGTGTTTCTCAATATTGGCTGCATGTGAGAATAAAATATCAATGCCAAAGCTTTAACCCAGATCAATTATACCAGAATGTATAAAACCTAGTCAGCAATTATTAGAAAAAGTTTTCAGGTAATTCCAGTGTGCAGCCAAGGTTGTGAATCCTTGTTTTCTATATCACATTGGTTTATCTGAGAGTGTTTCCATAAATTCACATTAACTGAAAGCATGTTTCTGCTTTTGCAATAACATTTCATTACCTGGTACTCTGACAGTTCCATCAACAGTTTTATAGACAAGCTCACCAAAAGTAGACTTGGGGGTTGTTTTAGTCAATTCAAACTGTCATAATAAAATACTGTAGACTGGTAGCTTGAAACAACAGAAACTTCTCATTTCACAGTTCCAGAAATTGGAAATCTAAGATCAGGGTGTTAATATGGTTGTGCTCTGGTGAAGGCTGTCTTTTTGGCTTGCAGATAACTGTCTCTGACTGGATTCTTGGACAAGGGGAGAGAGAAAGAGCAAGCTTTTTAGTGTCTCATTTTATAAAAGCCCTAATCCCATCAGGCCAGGGCCGCACCCTCATGAATTCATCTAACCCTAATTACCTCCCAGAGCCCTATCTCCAAGTACCATTACATTAGGAGTTAGGGCTTTGATGTACGAAGAGGATAGGAGGGATATTCAGACCATAGCAGGATCATGCAGTTCTCTGCCATCAGTAGCTTTAAACCAGGATAATTCTACTGGGACAAGCACTAGTTCAATGTAGTCCAGCACTTAGCCTGGAGGTGAAACAGTCCTTTGGTTTTGTATATAATTCAGTGGTGACATTTATGTAACTGTGCAATAAGCCATGACAGTTTAACCAGATTCTAGTTTCACTGCTGAAAAGTGCATCTGTTTTGACAGATACATAAAAAAATAAGTTTGAACAGAACCAGACTTTTTAAAGAGATGCTGAATTTAGTCTGGAGCTGCTTAGTGTCTTTGGAATTGCTTTTCTGTGTCTTGCTGAACTCAGCAGGCAAAGCAGAGGACTGCTTAAGCAAGACCATTTCGTGGTAGCATTGGTGTTGGAAGTACTGCCAAATGCTTTCAGTCTCATGTACGTTCTCCCTGGAGGCTGATGGATATGACATTATTATTATTTTTTTAATTCTAAGTGAGTTTTAGGTCATCTCATTGTGCTTGTTGCAGATAAGTTCACAATATCTTTAATAACTTCCTGTGTGGGTGCATTGAAAATTCATTCTATTCAGTTAAACCAAGGGATTATACCGTATTCTCTACATAGTATTCAGAGTGAAAAATTCCCATTTCTAATTTTGAGGCTTAAATGTTCCAAGGTTTTGTCTGTGTAATATTATACTTGTAATTATGGTGGCATTTGGATTTATCAGTGTGTGTAAGTATGTTTATGAGGAAAGGAGGAATGGGGATAGAGAATGAGCAAGGAGGGATTCTTGTCACACTCCTTTATCCTTGTTCAGATTAATAAGAGGCCTATGTTGCACCTAGATGATAAGTAGGACAGATAATTTCCAGGAAATATAAAGAACATTCTTCAGTTCACATACCTAGCAGAAACTCAGCAGTTAGAATATACAGAAAGTGTTACGAAGTAGAAGAAAATGAGGCATGGTGTGGAAAAGTGTTGGTGATCAGTTAGAAATATAAACTCAAACGAAGAATAAATGTTGTTCATTTATTTTTCACCTAGCATTTAGCATGAGGCTGTGCACATCATAGGTGTTCAGGAACTACTTGTTGAGTGAATGATTGATCCCAGAATGATCAAAGTAGACCTATCAGAATATAAAATTAAGTCAATCATAGGAAGCCTCATGTAATTCTCCCTTTAAGTTTGTAAAAAAGCAATAACCAGGAGGAAACACGATTCAGACGTAAAGTCCAAGTACAATATAAGAACCAAACTTATATGTTGCTCAGTTAAGGGACATATGCTACAAAGCTCCTCCTGGTCTGATAGCTCTTTCACTCAGATCTTTGGGCCTATCTTGTGCTGCCTTTTTCCTACCACTGGATATAATGTGCTTGATTATGTATCTTACCTTCTGAAAAGACTCTACTACCAGCTGAGTGAAAGGGACTTGAGTCTGTATAATGACTTTACGTTAGCAAATAGTTTTGAACTTCTACCTGTTAAAAGACAGAATTACAACAAATCTAGTTTAGTAGATCTTCATTGGCTTTTTTTGTGATTCTAGAATCTAACAGCAGTTTGGGCCAAAATGGTTCAGAATGTTCCACCCTACCACATGTGCAGGTTATATTTACAGGCAGAGAAAAAGAAGTTACCTACAGAAAACAGAAGCGAGGTACAGAGACAGCCCCATTACATGGCATGCATCTCATACATGGTTTGAACAGCTGCCTGTGATTGGCTGAAACTCAGCTATTTGTTCCTAGTTAGGTTTTCACTTTGTTTTTGGTACTGAGTTAGGTTGCAGTTAGGAGCTTGTAGGGAGGACTCCTTGGGCCAGTTTCAATTTTATTTAACATACCAAAGAGCATGACTCTACAGCATCTCGTATCTCAGTGATTAGCCAAAAAGAATTTTTGTCTGTGCAGTTTCCTGTTAAAGTACCCTAAATGGGGTTAATAGCATAACCTACTCATTGGCCTTCAGTGAGGCCTTGATGTTTGCAGATGTGTTGTTGTTATTAGGTGAAGGATTTTTATTCTCCATTGTACATAGACTTTTGCCACAGTGCAGTCACTTCACTTCACTTTGGTGAAGACTGAAATGTATTTCTCTGAGACAAAGATGGCACTTTCTTTTAGGCACATTGGGCAATTAACACATATTATTGATATCTAATTAATTGGTTAAACATATTGAAGTAAATATTAATTTGGCAAAGTAGTGGATTTTCAATAGGAGATAGAAGGCTAGAGAGTATGATTGACAGGGTTGCTATTTTATAGACTGAACATACAAAGATATTTTTCAGAGAAACGCCAGACTTCCCCATTGCAATAGGTAGCCTGCTGACAATTAGGACATGTGACTGAGAACCTCTTGAGGTGAATCAGAACTGGAAAAATATATTAGATTCTATCCAGAAATGATTATTTTCTTCGGTGAGAAAGGACAAAGCAAAAATGAAAACTCTAGAAAAATGCAGAACTCTCTATCTCTACTGAGTAGCCTAAGTTTAATAAAGCCCCAAAAAGAGAGTCATAAATTTTTAAATCTTAGCCTTTAAGCAAAAAGTTAATAACCTTTGTTAATCAAAAAATATATATATAATTGTTCATTTTTTCTTCATCATTTCTATATAATTAGCTGTGTGCATATATACTATAATGCTAGAAAGCTCTTATAATGTATCACTTCTGGGAAGGAATAAAATAATCATCCCACTCCACCTTTCTTACCTTGATTCATGGCTCAAATATTTCTATTCTTGGAACATTACTGCAGCTTTGGTGCTAAGAAAATTGCTGGTAGAGGAAGAATGATTCTGCGGCCCTTCATCCTTCACAATTTTTACACCATCCCATTGTCTAACTTTGCAATCTCGCCATCTAGTGTTCAAAGTTTCTCAATACCATAGTTTATAAAATGCTTCACTTCATTAAAAGCAAAACAGTAAAGTGCTAAGCAAGTTACCTTAAAAACAGTGTGTTTGGGAATAGTCAATGTAATAAATAGATCATCAATGAAACTTTACAGCAGATTTCTTGTTAAATGTGTTTCTTGTTTATCATTATTGTCTCATTTATTTATTGTATTTATTCATAAATATTTGATAGCTTCTGTTTATATAGTCATGCAAATTATACATAACATACTCTGTATATTGAAATATATACTTATTTATTTTATATTTTATTTTTATATTCTTTTCTTTCTGTACTACCTATGGCTAATTGTCATTGACTCTGAAGGCAAACAAATCTGAGTCATGATGGTAGATTGGGTTAGAGTGGAATCAAAAGGAAATACTTTACTGGAATATTTGACTGCTATGCATATCCTTCCCCAAGCTGTGGTTTTTTTACTACTAATGACTGTCCCTTCATGGGGCAGATATAGCAAGAAAAACACAGAAGGCTTTGATGCACATGAAATACGGTGGTTTGTCAGAAAACAAACAAAAATACTAGTGTCTTCCTTGTCTTACCATTGAGACTATTTTAGGTCTGTCTTTTCAAACAATTTTTTGGAATTTAGTTTTAGGAATTAATGAGGATTGCAGTTTTGAAGATGACCTGGGAACACGATTTTTATTTTCTTTACAAGGTTTTAAGATGACCTCTTCTATAGTGTTTATCAGTTCAGAATTTTAGAAAGAAAAACATATATTTATTTAATTATCAAGAAAATAAAATTAGCTAGTTAAAACAAGCCCTTTCAGATAACTTCCATCATTTTAACATCTATAAAACAGTTGACACTATGCCTGCTCTGAGAGACCCCAATGTCAAAATGGAAAACCTCAGTCCTTACCCTGAAGGAGGTGAAGTCCTATGGTCCATGAGGTTGCTGCCTACAGCTCAGACCTTACCCACTTCCACTCTGGGCTCTGACCTTCTTAGCCTTTGTCAATTCTGCAAGGACAGGAGGCTTCCTCCCACTTGAGGCTGTTTTTCTCCCTTGCTTTGATCAGAAATGCCTTCTGTCCTTACACACCCTTCGGATCTTGGCTCCAACATCATTTTCTCAGAGAAGACCTCCAAACCCTGTCTTGTTATTAGATAGTATGCAATAATTTTCCTTATTTCCACTCACCTTATTTTGTAATCACATACTTGTCTTATTATCAGCTTAGTATCTGCAGCCTTGACTAGGGTACAAGTAGTGAGCAGGCTAGAATAATGCCTCTTTTATTTAAACCCCTGAGGTCCTAGCCCAGGGGTTTCTATAATACCCATTAGGAGTAGATGTGCAGTAAATATTTGATGGAATCAGCCCATGGGCCCAAAATTGAGAGCTGAGAAGCCCATTGTCTCAGCTCATATAATTTCATACAGTTGGCTCTGCTTCCATGCCACCGCTGGGATAAGAGAATATTCACTGAGGCAGGAAACCCCAGTGCCTGCCTCCCAACTTCTCAGAGCACACCTCTCTGGGGACATGTCATTTCCTGCAGCACAGCTTGGGAGTGAGGTAAAGAATTCCCTGAGTTGTTCACTACTACTCTTCCCGGTTCCAGGAATCAACTCTCCTTTCAGACTTTTGCTTATTCTCCCCTGAAATACAAAAACAAAACAACTTCCCACACACAAATTAAAACTCTATTCTTGCTGTCTTTACTATCATCCATCTTCATGGATTAACAGGAAATATAAGATACAGAAGACAAAATATAAATTAATATTTTAGTAAGTTATCTTGCCACTCACACTCAGAAGAGGATACAAATAAATTATTCAAGTTATGTAAAGGACGTTAAGTTTTCATTGTTTATTTTTATAGCATTTCTCTTCTTTTCTAGAACATTCTAAGGATTCCCAGCCATCTTAGAATATTAGACAAGCAATTATGCTTAGAATCAATTATTTTCAAAATGAGCTCTGTTAAAAATTTATAGCATGTCACGCTAAGCTTCGAGTATCTATAGGCAAACACCAACACCTTCTCAAAAATGAGTCCAACATTTTGAGAGATGAGCGAGAATTTAGTAATTCATTTTGATATTGAATACACACATATACCCATCTATAGATTTGGTATTTTTTTGTAAATTTTATTACAGTATATTTTATTTAAGATCTAATATATTCTCATTGTTTTCTTAAGTTAACACCTTTGCTTACCATCAAATACACATAAAGAAAAATGCTTGAATGTTCAAATCACACTGAGGGTTCTTTAATTTTTTTTATTTTTATGGGTACATAGTCGGTGTATATATTTATGGGTTACGTGAGATATTGTGGTACAGGCCTACAGTCTGTAATAATCACATCAGGGTAAGTGGGCTATGCATCATCTCAAGCAGTCATTTCTTTGTGTTATAAGCATTCCAATTATACTGTTTTAGTTATTTTTAAATGTGCAATAAATTATTGTTGACTGTAGTCACCCTGTTGTGCTATCAAATACTAGATCTTATACATTCTACCTTACTATATTTTGTATTCGTTAACTATCCCCACTCCCACCCCACCCACGGACACATACACTTATCCCTCCCAACCTCTGGTAGCCATCATTCCACTCTCACACTGAGGATTCTATAGATCCTTCTAGGCCTTCTTCTCCCCACCTGTGGTGGCATCTAATAGGCATCACATAAATGAGTGCTCTCTGAAAACTGGGTTGATTCATTCAATTGCCAACTTGGATAGAATTCTGACTCCTGGGCTCTTGAAAAACAATAAATAGAATGGTATGAAGTTTACTCCAAAGAATATCTTCACACTTCTGTCTCCACAGCAACACAGATGTACACACGGTGGCATCACTTCTTAAGCTGTACCTCCGAGAACTTCCAGAACCAGTTATTCCTTATGCGAAGTATGAAGATTTTTTGTCATGTGCCAAACTGCTCAGCAAGGAAGAGGAAGCAGTAAGTTGATGCATTTATTTCCAAATAAGCTTTTGTTTGGAATTTTTTTCTGTGTTCTTAGTCTTAAATCTGTAAATTTCCATTGCCCTATCCCGGTGTTACTCTCCACTATCCTTTGAATTGACCTCACACACACTGAGACTTTCCGTATACAGCTCAAGCACCATTTCCGATCCCCTCTCTGATCAAAAAAAAAGAATATGGCTGAATAAATTAAATCAGCACGACTTGCCGCTTTCTTTCCCTAAATGATAAATGCAGTGCTATGTCAGGCCACACATCACACAAAAGAAGTGACTGCTGTGTCTCATAATCTTTTAATCGTGTGGACCCAAACCACTTCAAATAGTGGCTTCTATACAAAATCCTACCTACTGCTATTTCTTTAAACAGCTTTGTTAAGGTATAATTTTTATACAATACAATCGCCCATTTAAAATGTATGATTCAGTGTTTTTTAGTATATTCTCAGAGTTGTGCAACTCTGAGATATTCGATTATCACCAAAATCTAATTTTAGAATATTTACAATATTTTTATTGCCTCAAAATAAACCCCATACCCTCTCTTAATTCTCCTTTTTCCCCAGCGCTTGGCAACTACTAATCTATTTTCTGCCCCTATAGATTTGCCTATTCTGGACATTCCTTATAAATGGAATCATTCAATGTTTTTTTGGTGTGTGTGCACGATTGGCTTCTTTCACTGTTTTCAAAGTTTACTCATGTTGTGCCACTTATAAGTATTTCATTCCTTTTAATTCTAAACAATATTCTATTACTCATCCATTCATCAGAGAGACCTTTGGGGTTTTTTTCATTATTTGGCTATTATAAATAATGCTGTTGTGAACATCCACGTACAAAGTTTTGCATGGATCTATGTTTCTATTTCTCTTAAGTATATACCTAGAAGGTAGAATTGTTGGGCCATATGTGACTCTGTTTTTCAAGAGGGCTCCAGCATTTTAAATTCCCACCAGCAATGAGCGCAGATTCTGATTTCTTCAAATGTCTACCATCACTTGTTACCTGTCGTTTTTATCTTAGCCATCCTAACACGAGTAAAGTCGTATCTCATTGAAGGTTGAATGGCATTTCCCTGATGGCTAATGATGCTGAACATCTTTTCATGTGCTTATTGGATATTAGTATATTGCCTTTGAAGAAATATCTATTCAGATTATTTCCCCATTTTCAGTTGGGTTATTTGCCTTATTATTAATAGTATTGAGTTGTAAGAGTTTATATAGTTTAGATATATGTCCCTTATAAATATGATTTTAAATATTTTCTCACATTCTGTGAGTTGTCTCTTCATTTTATTGATGGTGTCCTTTGAAACACAAAAGTTGTACATTTTGATGAAGTCAAATTTATCTATTTTTAATCAGTTGTGGTTGTGTGTCATATCTAAGAAGACTTTGCTTAATACAAGGTCACAAAGAGTTACTCCTGTATTTTCTTCTAAGACTTCTATAGCTTCGGCTTTTACATTTAGAACTATGATTCACTTTGAGTTCATTTTTGTTTTTGGTGTGAGGAAAGGAACAAACTTAATTCTTCTTCATGTGGATATACAATTGTCCCAGCACTGTTTGTTAAAAGACTATTCTTTCCCCCATTAGATTTTCTTGGCACTCATGTCAAAAACTGCTGCCTATTGTTTTTTTTTTTTTTTTTTTTTTTTTTTGAGACAGAGTCTTGCTCTGTGGCCCAAGCTGGAGTGCAGTGGCGGGATCTTGGCTCACTGCAAGCTCCGCCTCCAGGGTTCACACCATTCTCCTGCCTCAGCCTCCCAAGTAGCTGGGACTACAGGCGCCCGCCACCAAGCCTGGCTAATTTTTTTTTTTTTTTTTTTGTATTTTTAGTAGAGATGGGGGTTTCACCTTGTTAGCCAGGATGGTCTCGATCTCCTGACCCCGTGATCCACCTACCTCAGCCTCCCAAAGTGCTGAGATTACAGGCGTGAGCCAATGCACCCGGCCTAACTGCTGCCTATTTTTATAAATGCAGTTTTATTCCATTTGTTAAATAACATTGTCTGTGGCTGCTTTTGCACTACAACAGAAGAGGTGAGTGGTTGCAAGCAGAGACCATTTGTCCCATAACGCCTCAAATATTTACTATCTGGACCTTTATGGGCAGAAGAAGAAAGCAAATTACATTATCCATTGGCATTTCTGCTATCATTTACATTTTAGGGGAAGTCATATAATGAAAAGAACCAAATAAATTCGTCCCTTGTGAAATTTCCAGAAAGATCACTTTTTTCAATTATCCTCCCTCCCCAAATGATGTATCCTAAACATGACCAGCTCTGAGAGACTTTTGTCAGTAGATGTATTTGTCTATGTTCTGCACATGCTGAAACTGGGAAGGATGCTCACTACATCACTTACTCTTCTTCAAATAATTTTATTAATAAATGAGCTTATCTTCTCTTTTCAGTCAATTGTGAGCATATGTTAAAAATGATAACAGCTTCACTTGAATCTGTTTCTCCACAAATAGTACTTATGGAGATATTTTAAATCCTTGTACATCTTTGAAAATATATCTAAAATATTCACTGTGATGGTGGTAAGTTTTCGGGACAAGATCTTTCACTGATAACATGTGAAACTAATTTTTTAAAAAATTATATGGCCATTTCGACTTGCTTTAATTCTAAGGCCAACGTGTAGAAAAATAATATTTATTTTCTTCTTTGTACTCAGGGTGTTAAGGAATTAGCAAAGCAGGTGAAGAGTTTGCCAGTGGTAAATTACAACCTCCTCAAGTATATTTGCAGGTAAGAACTGTCCTAAGGACAAACGTAAACAAGACAAGACATATTTAGCCTGATACTAATTTGTGTTTGACAACGAATAAAATCACTCAACTACTTCGAGCCCTAGTGTTGGCCTCTGTAAAATTAAAAGATTGGACAAGGTGATCTCAGAGGCTTCTTTGAGCATTAAATTGCTTAACTTTGAAATGTGATGTTTTTGAAGTTTCTCTTGCCTCTACACACTAAAGATAGGTTGTTTTGAACTTCAATCAAGTTTTTTGTACTGTTTCAGAAGTGGTATTGTTTAGGAAAAGAAGCATGCCACCTTGGCATGAGAAACATCTGCATGGGAGCCAAGATTGTGCCATTGACTAGTTGCCTGTCTTATGCAGTTCTCTTATTCTTTCTGAGTCTCAGGGTCCTAATAGGTAAAATGGTAATGAAAACACATATTTCACATAGTTGTTTTAAAAATTGAATTATATTTTAAATGATTAGTATATAGTAAGCATTCAATAAATGTTATTTTCTTTCCATTTCTCTCCCACCTCAGGTTTCATCAAAGACATTTGTAACTGAATTCTGTTAGAAAAATAATTGTGCCAGAAAAATAATTGTGCCTGGAAAATATACCTCTCAATGTATAACTCAAGACCTGGGATGGGATATGCCATATATGTGCTCCTGTTTAAGAAACCAAATATGCAAAATTGAAACAGAATAAATTTAAATAGAGAGTGATGATTGGCACTACAAGTCACTGCAGGGTGTCTTACATGATAGCTTCCCAGTCCATTTTAAAATAAAATTCAAAGTTTTAATTGAGTACAGTGCATCATTTATGTGTGTGTTTGGTGTTATGATTAGATAAGCGTTCAAGGGACTAGGAACTATGAAGTCTAAGACTAATATCAGACATTTTGGTGTTAATTGTCAGTGTAACTGAGTAGAAATTCCAAGTCCTCCCACAATAAGTTCCTCTAGTGATGATTATACTTAGAAGCAAACAGTACCTTGGGTTCCAGAATTTGAAAAAGCAGGAAATCATGCCATTGACACCTTAGACTTATTAATATGGAAGCTTATAATCCAAACATTTTGAACTAATTCAAGTTATTCTAGTGGGTGAGACAGAGATTACATTCTCCTTAAGTAAAAGGGATGAAAAAGCTTCTTTGGAACCATATTGTAAGTCTTTATCTCCACAATAGAAATGCCTAACTTCTCATGAAAGATTTAAGCAGATTTTTAATTTCCGGTAATTTAAATAAGAAATGCTAGTTTGACTTTTTGCCTTCAGTGTTACTATAGTTTAGGCTGTATAACAGTAGTGAATGTGTGGAAATAGGCACCTTTTTTAAAAGTCATGATATAGTAGTTAAGTGTACGGCCTCTGGTGTCACATCCTCCGGTGGGTTCAAGTCTTAGCTTTGCCCCTTACTAACTCTGTCTTTGGAGAAGATCCCCCCTCTGGTACCACATGACTCTCATCTGTAAAACAGAGACAATAATGGTACCTACCTCAGAGAGATGCTTTGAGAATTTAATAAATTAGCACTGTGACAGACACATACTAGTACTATATAAATATGTTATTTTAATTTTTCATTATTTCCTCTTTATCTCATCAGTACAATTAGCAAGCCATGAAATTATAGAAGCTCTTGTATAAATGAAGAGGAGGTAGGGAATGAAGGAATGCTGAAAGATTATGAAAACAATCTCTCCTATTATTTCATGCCTCTTACTTTTTAGCACCTAATAAATAGAAACAGTTTGCATTTGCAATTTTTGGTATCATTAGAACTGTGTTTTAATTTCTACAGCATTTTATTTCTCTTTTTTTTTTTTTTTTTTCCGAGACCGAGTTTCACTCTTGTTGCCCAGGCTGGAGTGCAGTGGTGCAATCTTGGCTCACTGCAACCTCCGCCTCCCGAGTTCAAGCGATTCTCCTGCCTCAGCCTCCCAAGTAGCTGGGATTACAGGGGCCCGCCACCGCACCCAGCTCGTTTTTGTATTTTTTTTAGTAGAGATGGGGTTTCACCATGTGTTGGCCAGGCTGGTCTCAAACTCCTGACCTCAGGTGATCCACCTGCCTTGGCCTCCCAAAGTGCTGGGATTACAGGTGTGAGCCACCATGTCCGGCCTGTATTTTATCTATCTCATTTCTTAATATACTATAATTTTGAAGCTCACAAATTACTCCACAAAAAGGGTTAATTCCTCCTGTCTAAAGAAGGCATCCTACCAGCTGATCTTATTACAGTCCCCTAATTGAATAGAGATATAAAATTATTACTTTATTGAGGGATTGGAAGGGAATCCACATTGTTGACTCTCAAGTCCATATTAGTATTGTCCAAACACACCTGTTCCTTTGATTGACAGAGGAAATCAAAGCAGGCCAGGCCAAGACAGATAGTTGATATGATAAATAAAGTTTGATCCTTTCTAATTTGCAATACATTGTCCCTGTGTTTGAGTGAGAGATGGGTGAACATCCAAATAA
Organism: Homo sapiens; assembly: GCF_000001405.40. NCBI lineage: Eukaryota > Metazoa > Chordata > Mammalia > Primates > Hominidae > Homo > Homo sapiens. The sequence continues at coordinate 85,977,450 of NC_000004.12, forward strand.
TTCTGTCTCCATAGTCATCTTTGAACATAACTTTAGTTTGTAAATTTTCTAATGATCGATTTTTCTTCCACTGGCAAATTTGATCCCATTGTATTTCAATCATATGCTTATACTCCATAGATTCTTGGATGAAGTACAGTCCTACTCGGGAGTTAACAAAATGAGTGTGCAGAACTTGGCAACGGTCTTTGGTCCTAATATCCTGCGCCCCAAAGTGGAAGATCCTTTGACTATCATGGAGGGTAAGTAAATGATTATCTTATACCCTTATCAAAAGAAGAAGTAATTATCTCTTGACTGGCCAGAATCTACTCATCTCTGAGCAAACCAAGGTAATAAGTGAATACATGGCAACTCCGTTTATTAACTGAAGTTCTTTAAATGTAAAAATCTTCCTTTTGAAAGTCAGATATTTTTTGTTTGTGTTTACTAAACATAAAATATACTAAACGCCTCTTCATTAGCCTTACAAGAATAAATGAAACCTTCATAAATCATATGTAAAGTATTCAAGAACTGAAAAAAACTACCTCACTTCGTGAGTTCACTACAATTTTCAGAAAATTCAAAAAGTTATTATTTTCAGTTAATATACATTTTTATTAATTTTGATTTTATTTGACTGACTTAGGGAAAAATGGTCTTTTATAAGACAATGCTGCTTGTTTATTTGTAGGTTAAAACATGAAAGAATTTTTGTTGTTCAAATTACAAAGTGTCTCAATTATTTTCCACAATGAACTGTACTTTGTGTTTTTTCCCAGCAGGCCTAGGTGCTCTATGTCATTAATAGCAACATTGTTTGCTACAAACTGGACTAATTTATGATTTCAGAATTTAAAAGAAAAAGGAAAGGAGAAACAATAATTATTTTTAGATTCACTCTAGGTTTATTTAGTCTAGAACAAAATGTCCCCCTCAGTCACCTGGATTTTACTACCTGATACCGTTCCTTTCCTTAAAATTCCAATATTTTCATTTTTTTAGATCTTACGTGTGAGAAAAAAAGCTTTTGCATGTCTGCCTGCATCACTTCAGTTTGATTTCCTTTGTTAAACACCAAGGGCAATATAAGTTGAACATCAGATTTTTGGCAATGAGATAGTTCAGAAAACTTAATTTCTATCTGAGGAGTTTAGCAGACATTAGAAAACATGAAATTTGAAGCTACAAGAAGCTTGGAGATACATTAGTCCATTGTTTTTTGAAATCTTTATTATAAATTAAAATACGTGCAATACAGAACACCACCACACACATGCACACACACATACACACATCTTAATGAATTATATAAAACAAGTCCTCTACAAATAACTATATATTTAAAAATAGAGAACTTTTCCAGGCATCCCCAAAACTCTTCCTGTGCCCTGACCCAATCCCAGTGTCTGTCATCCTAATATCCAGAATTTTATAGCAATTTCTTTGTGTTTCTGTGTAGTTTTATCACCCAAATGGACTTCCCAGACATTACATTTAAGTTTCCTATTCCTTTACTTGATACCTTTTAAGAATTTTTTAATATACAGCACCCCCTATAATTTGCCATTTGAAAAATCATGTTATTTCACTTGTAGAGTTTCCCGTAGTCTGGATTTGTTGATCCACGGATTTGTTGATTCATGGTGCAATGTAATATATTAATATTTCTCTGCCCTCTGCATTTCCTACAAGTTAGGACCTGGATAAAATCCATGTTTGATCTGCTTGGCGTGACCTTTGATTGTGTTGTGTCCTTTAATCAGGAGACACATAATGTCACTTCATCTCTCTTTTTGTGAACTTAATGAAATTCCTAAAGCTATTAATTCGCTGGAAGCTGAAATGCTGATATTGTAATTATGTGGTTTTTTCAACTCGTTATTGTGGTAAAACACACATAACATGAAATGTATCATCTTAACCATTTTTAAGTTCACAGTTCAGTAGCATTCAGTACTTTCACATAGTCTTGCAGCCATCACCGCCATCCATCTCCAGAGCTTTTTTACATTGCAAAACTGAAACTCCCTACCCATTAAACACGAACTCCCCTTTCCCTCTCCCCCAGGCCCTGGCAACTACCCTTCTGCTTTCAGTTTCTATGAATTTGTCTACTCTAGGTACCTCATATACCTGTTATACTTGTTGTGACTGGCTTATTTCACTTAGCATAATGTCCTCAAGGTTCATCCATGTGGCAATATTTTAATTTTTAAATTAATAATTTGAACACTTTAAAAAATTTTCTTCTCATCTACTGCTTAGGAACCCAATGGTATCTTTAAAAGGCAAGACAAATGCTGCTTGAATCTTTCCCTTTACTTACCAGCTTTTAAAGCACATAAACAGATTTTTTAACTCCTCTAAAAATGAGTACTATTTTCTTTGTCTTCCCAGTATACGTATTATTGTGAATATTTAAAAAATATCATTATAAAGTCATGTATTAAAATCAATTTGCTTGGTCAATACATTGTAAGTACTGTCCTTCACTGAATCTCAAATTTTCCCATCTTTGGCCAGTGGAAGCATCTTCAAGTTGTCTTCTTAGTTCTTTTGACAGGCCTTCCTAGTTTGGGGTAGCTATTTTTCTTTGTAGTATGACAAGATTTCTTAGGCTCATATGTTTTATGCCCCAAACCTGGAATCAGTCAATTTCCAAAAACTCCTGACTTCTTTTAGTGGGGAAATGATATTTTAAGGCAAGCTAGATGCTTAGTGCCAGTGATACTCATTGCTACTGGCTTGGTCATTGTTTCTAGTCTTTTTAGTGGGCAGAGCTAGTAGATATAAATGCACACTACATGTGTACATATTACATGCATAATAAACATATATACACATTTACCTATTAAAGAAAAAGTGCCTCACAAGTTCACATTAGTTACAATTCAAAATTATAACTACAGGGTTTTTATTTATTCCTTTCTCTTTACAGTTTTATTCCCTTTCTTCCAAGGAATCCTGGTTTGCAAAGACACTGAGGATAACAGAATTAGAACATCTCATAATTAATCATTTGCTCTATAACTCGTCACACACACAGTAGTCTCAGGATAACAATACCAACACCAGTATGGTTACTGCAAAATTCTTTACATGTGCTCTTTTAATCCTCCTTTTATTCTTTTAATATTTATACTATATGCTTTCAGAATATATACCCATTATACACTATTCCCTCTCCATTTTAGTCCTCATTTAATCTTTGGAGATATGTATGTAAATCTATCCACTTAATGTTCACTACTGGTCCTTGTATTGATGTCTTTCCAGCCTAGAGATTCTCAAAATATAATATTCAGATAACTGGGGGCCCCAGAGATGCATTCAGGAGGTCCATGGCCTCAAATGTATTTTCATAGTAATATGAAGATGCTGTTGCCCTTTCACTGTGTTGACATTTGCACAGATGGTGCTAAAGCAGTGACGGGTACAGCAGCTGGCACCTTAGTACAAATCAAGGCAGTGCCACCAAACCCAACTAGCACCATATTCTTCACCACCACGCATTTACAATAGGGAAGAAAATTCCAATTTTACTTAGGAATGTTCTTACTGAACAGTAAAATATATTAATTGCATTAAATATACGACCTTGAGAACACATTTCTTTCATATTAGGGTGCAGAGACGGCTGTCTGTATAAAGCACTTCTGCATGCTCCCTCTAAAAGTAACACAATGATTGGCTCAAGGGGAAGCATTTGTGTGATATTTGAGCAGCACTAACTGATTTTTCTTGGAACTCCATTTTTATTTGAAAGGACAACTGACAAACTACAGTTATTCAGACTAGAGCATTTAGCAGACACATTCTCAAAAATGAACTAAACGTTTCACTTCAAGAAATACAGCTGTCAGAGTTTGTTGCCATTGACAGAATTTAAACTTGCATGTGACAAATATGTATTCAAAACCTTGAGCTTGACAGCTTCCTAAATTCCTAAGCACATTTCTGGTGAGATTAGTGTTGATATTAACAAATCTATAGTATCTTTGATACTATAGAAATACGTGTGTCAGGATTTGGAAGATTAGCATAACTCAGTGAATTTTCCAAATGACATGTTGTCACAACTCCATGTGTGTGTAAAGGATCCATTCAGGTTAGCTTTTCTGACTTCACAGAGCTCAATCTGTTTTTTCCCATCATATCAAAAAATATGACATCTTGCTTCCTGAGATGTCCTGGCTTTATTGCCTTGTTGATTTTCATTGGTCTTTCTTCCTGTTTTTTCATTTCTGTTCTCCTAGTCCTTCCCAATTTTCACCTCTCTCTTAGCAGTATCCCCTCCATGCAAAGCCCTGTCTGGAAGGGAGTCCTGGCTGGTCAGTGTGGAGAGATCTTAGGGGCTGGATGTCTCACTCCTTCAGACCTTGCCATTGGCCACCTCTATTGGACTAGGTGCAATCCCTCCCACTTTTAGCCGCTCTTCTTAAATTAACTCTTCGCATTTTCCAGTGAATATCTATGGGGCGCTTTGGGGATATTCTATTTCCAGGACCATCAGAGCCCCCATTGCTCCTCTTTCCTTCCCTCTACAGAGACACTGACATCATGCAGGCCTTGTGGAAATGGGGATTTGTCTCGACCAACATGTATTTGGGGCTTTTGGGAGATACCCTGTCAGCTAGTTTTTTGGAAATGTTGCCCATGAGTTTTGACTTGGCTATCTAGTTGCTCTGTTTTTATGTGAGAATTTCAGGAGATCCAATACTGTGCTGCCATCATCTTCCTAGAAGTCAGTGTTTTTGTTGTTGTTATTCTTTAAACTCTTGTTGCAAATCTTGTTATTTGAGGAGAAATCTTTTAAAAATTGCATAGTGTCCCCCTGCCTCTTTTGTGGATAAGAAACCTGATACCCAATGAGAAAAGTAAATTTCTCTAGGTACACCAATAATTGTGTAAGGGATAGGTGCACAAGTAGATAAGTTGTTTTTGTTTTGTTTTGTTTTGTTTTTGAAGTACAGGAAAAATGGAGAAGCAAAATAATCCCATCTGTTATCATAATTTGTTGGGGGTCACGGGAAGGTCTCCCCATTCCCTGGGAGTGTAGTTGTTTCATTTAACCCAGGATCAATCAGGCCCCAGGGGAAACCAGCTCACAGCAACCAAACTTTCAGGAGACCTCACTGAGCACATAAACCACCTAGCTACATCCTGGCCCACTCTTCAGCATGAGTCAGTATTTAAAGAAAAAGTGTTCTTGCATCCAAAAATAATTAGAAACAAGTTAGATGTTTATTGTGTCTCTAGAGAAAATACTAAATCTGACTGCATTCTTAATGCATAGAAAGTTGTTTTTTGTGTGTTTTTTTAACTTGTTTTATTTTATTCTATTTTAAGTTCTGGGGCACATGTACAGGATTTGCAGGTTTGTTACATAGGTAAACATGTGCCATGGTGATTTGCTGTGCCTGTCAACCCATCACCTAGATATTAAGCCCAGCATCCATCAGCTACATTTCCTGATGTTTTCCCTTCCCCCCCTTCTCCCAACAAACACCAGTGTGTGTTGTTCCCCTCCCTATGTCCATGTGTTCACATTGTTCAGCTCCCACTTGTGAATGAGAACATGGGGTGGTTGGTTTTCTGTTCCTGCATTAGTTTGCTGAGTATAATGGCTTCCAGCTCCATCCATGTCCCTGCAAAGGACATGATCTCATTCCTTTTTATGGCATGGCTGCAAAGTATTCCGTGATGTATATGTACCATATTTTCTTTATCCAGTCTATCATTGATGGACATTTGGGTTGATTTCATGTCTTTGCTATTGTGAATATTGCTGCAGTGAACATATGTGTGCATGTATCTTTATAACAGAATTATTTATATTCCTTTGGGTATATACCCAGTAATTGGATGGCTGGATCAAATGTTGTTTCTGATTCTAGATCTTTGAGGAATCACCACACTGTCTTCCACAATGGTTGAACTAATTTACATTCCCACCAATAGCATAAAAGTGTTCCTATTTCTCTGCATCCTTGACAGCATCTATTGTTTCTTGACTTTTTAATAATCACCATTCTGACTGGCATGAGATGGCATCTCATTGGAACTTAAACAAATTTACAAGAACAAAAACAAAAACAACCCCATTAAAAGTGGGCAAAAGACATGAACAGACGCTTCTCAAAAGAAGATATTTATGCAGCCAACAAACTTACTTTAAAAAGCTCAACATCACTGATCATTAGAGAAATGCAAATCAAAACTACAGTAAGAAAGTTGTTTTAAAGTACTCTGTTATTGTCTCCCCTGCTCTCAAAACTCTCCCAAATCCATTCCATGCAGTGTCCCTCAAAACTCTCCCAAATCCACCCAAGCAGGGTCTCTTGTCTTCTTCTGCCCTTCCTCATTCTCTGAATCTACTCATTTTCTTACGTCCACAAATAAGTTTCTCCTCTTTTCTTATTCATTCTCCTGATTTATATAAAATTAGATCATATCTGAGGGTAGAATTAACTCTTCACAATAATAATCTTTTAAAATATGTCTTAATTTATCATTCAATAAATATTCATTAAGCAACTGCTTTATGCAATGCTCATCAGTAAGCCTGCGAATGCAAAGATGCATAAGGAAAAGTTTTGCCCTACAGGAACTTACAGCCTAGCCTAGTTGCAGATTTGAACCACTAAATATTCAATTATAGTATGAAAAATGTTATATACAGGATATGTCACAGGCCTATGAGATCAAAAGTAGGGAATTATGGTATTTTTCTTAGAGGTCGGGGAACCATCACAGATGGGACATTTAAAGAGTCATTCCACCAGAAAAAGAAATATAGATTGGTAAGTGGGTGAGTGTCTTAGTCCACTGGAGTTACTATAACAAAACACCATAGACTGGGTAGCTTATAAAGAACAGAAATTTATTATTAAGTTCTGAAGTCTGGGAAGTCCAAGATCAAGGCACCAGCAGATAGGTTTCTGGTGAGGACCCATTTCCTGGTTCACATACAGCTGTTTACTTGCTGTGTCCTCACTTGGCTGAAGGAGTGAAGGAGCTCTCTGGGATCTCTTTTATGCTCGTACTAATCTAATTTATGAGGGCTGCCATGACCTTGTTATCTCCCAAAGGCCTTACCTCCTAATACCATCACACTGGGGGTTAGGATTTCAAAATATGAATCTTGTTGGGGACACAAACATTCAGTCTTTAGCAGAAAGAAAGATCAGGGTGCATCCAAGTGAAAATTTTGGTAAGGTCAATGATGTCGGGGCATATAGGGAAGATTGGTGAAAGAATGGCTGGAAAGACTTCACAATATTTTCAAGGCCTTATAAACCATTCTGCATTCAGGAATCTTTGATAACTATTGAGCAAGAGCATGTTGACATTGGATTTTTTTGTTTTAGAAAAACAACTCTTTTATTTTACTACTAATTTTTTTCAAGATGGAGTCTCACTCTGTCACTCAGGCTGGAAGGCAGTGGTGCAATCTCGGACACAGCAACCTCCACCTCCCAGGTTCAAGTGGTTCTCCTGCCTGGGCTTCCTGAGTAGCTGGGTTTATAGGCACCTGCGACCACACCCAGCTAATTTTTGTATTTTTAGTAGAGATGGGGTTTCACCATGTTGGCCAGGCTGGTCTCAAACTCCTGACCTCAGGTGATCTGCCCACCTTGGCCTCCCTGAGTGCTGGGATTAGAGGCATGAGCCACCATGCCCGGCCAGAAGAGTAACTCTTATACTCAAAGGAATATAAACATTCTATTATAAAGACACATGCGTATGTATGTTCATTGCAGCACTGTTCACAATAGCAAGGATGTGGAATCAACCTAAATGCCCATCAATGATAGACTGGATAAAGAAAACATGGTACATGTACACCATGGAATACTGTGTAGCCATAAAAATGAACAAGAGCATGTCTTTGCAGGGACATGGGTGGAGCTGGAGGCCATTATACTCAGCAAATTAACATAGGAACAGAAAACCAAATACCTCATGTTCTCACTTATAGGTGGGTGCTAAAGGATGAGAACACATGGACAGAGGAAGGGGAACAACACACACTGGGGCCTGTTGGAGGGTGGATAATGGGAGGAGGGAGAGGATCAGGAAAAATAACGGGTACTAAGCTTCATACCTGGACAATGAAATAATCTGTGCAACAAACCCTCATGACACAAGTTTACCTGTGTAACAAACGTGCAGTTATACCCCTGAATTAAAACAAAAGTTTTAAAAAAGAAAAGTAACTCTGGTAGCTCTGGGGATTGGCTGAAAAAGAGAGGTAGTGATCAGACTGCAGACAGGCATTATCTCTCACAGGCTCTGACTTCTGAGATCAAATTTGTATTTGTGCTCATGCCTCCTAATCATTTGCTGTGCATTTTATACATGCACAATTACAATTCAATCAAATATACTCTAAAGCTGAAGTAACCCCTGAGATACAACAGGTGTTTGCAGCATTAGCCTGATCTGAGTGAGTGTAATCCAAGTGAAATGGTTTTTTATTTCATTTCAGTAAAAACTGCACCAGTTGGAAAATGAACCTTACATATTTACTAACCCATAATAGTTATTTTTATTTTATTTTCTTATTTTGGTGGATGTTTAAGTGAATGAAACTCATTATTCTTGGCTGTTAACATACTATTTGCAGTCAACTGACATGAATTCTATTGAAAAACATGGAGACTGCTTTATTTTTTAAATACTGTCTTTTAAAATTATCTTCTACTTGAAAAATTATCTATACATTCCTTACCATTATTCTTCTTCTTGCTACCATTCAAATATTGATGTAGCCATTAATGATATCCTTGCTATATAAGCATATCCATATCTATATAATAGATATGTGCTTTCAAGGAAACCTTTAGAATGTTTTTTCAGCATTATTTTAAAATACTAACAAATAATATTGCATTCTGCTTCCCATCATGATGAAGGAATAGAGATTGTTCACATTTAACAACTAGAAAACCAGAAAACTATATGAAGCAGCAGTTTTTAGACATTGGACAACAGGCAATACATGCCTATGATTCATAAGAGAAAGAAAACAAATGAGGGGAACCCAGTTATTGCCTCAGATTACTACTGGGAGGCAGTTTTCACATAGTATCACAGGGAATAAAAATGCAAGCAAAATCCAGGTATTGCTGAGCTGAAGAGAGTAAGGTCAGACAATGAGAAGCCCAAGGGAGCTAGAATTTGGGGGAGTAGAAAACAGGGAAGAGAGAACTAGACATAGAGCGTCCAGAAATCTACGGAGAGTAGATGAGAACTGATTTATGTTTGCATGAGAGGACACTACACAAGACTTGAGGGAATTTACCAGAGATGCTTAGTCTGAACAACTTCTGGGCCTCAAACTGAGCTTGAAATAATTTGTCTTTCCCACAAAAAGAGTGCAAAGTCCTGATAATGAGGCATTGTGTAGAGTTCTCACAAAGGTATTACCTTAGTGCTAAGATTTAAATTATGGATTAGTCCTCACAAATTTTAAAGCATCTTTTAAATGATCCAGTGGGAGCTCAGGGAGGAAGGGAAGGATGAATACCAGGAGCATAAGGAATTTTTAGGGCAGTGAAACTATTCGGTATGATGCTGGAATGATGGATACATGACATTATGTATTTGTCAAAACCCATAGAGCATACAACACAAAAAGTGATCCCTAATGTAAACTATGGATTTTAGTTAATGATAATGTATAATATGGGCTCATCAAGTATATCAAATATACCACATTAATGCAAGATGTTAATAAAAGGGGAAACTGTGTTTAAAAAGGCGGTGGAGAGGAGGTATATAGGAACCGTCTGTACTTTCTGCTCAATTTTTCTGTACACCTGAAACTGCTCTAAAAATTAAGCTTATTAACATATAATAAATATGATTCAGCTAATCCCCAGATGCTTCACTCTGTGCCAGAACGAAGTCCAACACATCTAGAATATATATTTTTTTCAAAATTCAGTAACCAACTGTATAAAGCCCACAATGTTTTCCATACAACTAAAAACTACAAGGCATGCAAAGAATCATAAAAATATGAGCTGTAACCAGGACATAAAATAGCTAATAGAAAAAGACCCAAATGTGATTGAGTCATTTCTGATAGCAGACAAGGATATTATTATTATATTCTGTAAATATGTTCAAGAAGGTAAAGCAAAATGTAACATGATGAAGAGATAGATCAAATGTATTTTTAAAGTCCAAATAGAATTTCTAAGGATGAAAATTATCACTTAAGTGAATATTACACTCGATGAGATTAATAGCAGGTTAGGAGAAAACTTAAAAAGAATAAATTCAGACTTATAAAAATTTTGTCTTCATAAGAGAAACTATCATGAAGCACAGAGAAAAAATACTCATTTTTTTCACAGAATTGATGAAAATTACAAACACAAAGATCTCAGAAGCTCAGAATTAACATAAAGGGAGCCACACAAAAGCACATCATAAAATGCTGAGAACCAATTTAAGAGAAAAGCTTAAGAGCAGACTGAGGAACAAAGGACACATTACATACAGAAGAACAAAGAGATATGTTGCAGAAGATTTCTTGTTAGAAATTATATAACCAAAAGAAGTGGATCAAAACCTTTGAAGTACTGAAAAAAATCTATTAACCTAGATTTCTATGTCCAGTGAATATATTTAAACATTTTTCAAATATAAAAAGGAGCTAAGGTCATTTTGAGAGAAACAAAATCTGTGAGTAAATTCATCACTGATGGTCTTGTACTACAAGAAACGTTAAATAGTTGTTGTGGCAGAAGGAATATGAGTCCAGATAGACACATGTGCACACAGATGAATGAAGTGAAGAGCACTACACAGCAATAATATGTGGATTAATATAAAATAATATTTTTTCTTATTATTAATCTCATTAAAAGATAACCTGTTGTATAAAGCAAAAATAAGATAATGTAACATGGCATACATAATACATACAGAAATGAAATGTATGACAACGACAGAATAAAAGACAGAAAATGGAAGCAAACATGAAAGCAGACTACTTTAAGACTTTTAATTTGTATGCAAAGTGTTGCAATATTATTTAAAAGTAGACCGTAATAAATTAAATATGAATGTTATAAACATAGAACAACTACTAAAAAATAAACTGAGGTATTAGGTAATAAGCCAACAATAAAGATAAAATGGAATGTTATATAATAATAAACTTTTTTTAAAAAAAAGGACATAAAAAAATAAAAGAGGAGCAATTATCAGATGCAACAAGTAGAAAAAAATACCATGATGACAGAATTAAACTCAACCATATCAGTAATTGCATTAAATCTTAATGCCTTATATATTCCAGTCTAAAGGCAGAGATAAAATAAATAAAAATTCAACACTCAACTCTATACTGTATACACATCATTTAAAATATAAAGATACAGGTATGTTTAAAAACTAAATGAAAGGAAAAAGTTCTACCAAGTTTGTGTGATACAACTAAAGTAGTGCTTAGAGGAAAATTCATATAATTATGGACTTATATCAGAAAGAATAAAGACCTAAATTTAATTATCTAAGTTTCCTTTTCAGAGAGCTGCAAAAATAAGAGGTAATTTAAACCAAAGGAAACAGAGGCAAGGAGTAATGAAGATAAGAACAAAAATCAAGAAAATAGAGAGAGAACAAAAACAATCTAGAAAACCAGTGAAACCAAGAGCTGGTTTGTTAAAAAGATCAATAAAATTGATAAAACTCATCGTACTGATCAGAAAAGAAAAAACAATGTTACATTACCTATATCAGGTTTAACAGAAGTGACCTACCAAAGGTCTTACAGATGTTAAAATAATCATAAGGGACTATTATGAACAACTTTTTGCCAAGAAATTGGGCAATGGAGATGAAATGTTCAAGTTCCTTAAAAGATACAAACCAAAGCTCCCTCAAGATTAGAAAGAAAGAAAGAAACTGAGACTAGTAAAGCAATTGAATTCGTAGCTAAAAACATTCCCACAAAAACAAAAACACCTCTAACTTAAATTTACTGGTGAATTCTAACAAACATGTAAAGAAGAAATTATATTAATTGTGCACAGACTCTTTCAGAAAAAAAGAAGTAGAGGGAATTCTTGCCAACTAATTTTATGAGGGCAGTGTTGCTCTAATATCAAAACAGATAAAGACATTATAAGAAAAGAGAAATACAGAATAATATCCCTCATGAATATAGACATATAAATCCTAAACAAAACCTTACTGGATTGACTTCACCATATAAAAAGGATAATAAATCAGGACCAGTGGGGTTTATCCCAGGAAGACAGGTTGGTTAGCCAAAATCAATCAATGTAATTCACTGTATTAATACACCACTTTAAGATACAAAAAAATCATCGCGGATGCAGATAAAAAAATTGAAAGTTTCTCAAATTAACAAAGGTTATCTCTGAAAAATTTAGTTAAAATACTATTGTTAATGGTAAAAGACCAAATGCTTTGCCTCTAAGATCGGGTTTAAGGTAAGTTTACCTTATCCCACCATTTCCATTGTACTGGAAATCCTAGCCAGTAATAATAAATAAAAGGTATAAAATTGGAAAGGAATATGTAAAACTCTCTTTATTCACAGTCAACATGAACATCTATGTCGAAAATTCTTTGTAATCGACAAATAAAACTAATATAACTAATACGCAAATATATAAAGATCACATAAAGCACAGTCAATTTATAAAACTTTATTGTATTTCTACATACTACATTGGACAATTAGAATTGAAATAAAATTATTGTTTAGAACAACACTCATAAATTTAAAATATTTAGGGAGAAATTTAAGAAAGCATGTATAAGACACACTCTGAAAACTACTAAACACTAACAAACAAATAAGAACTACATAAATGTGGAAATATACCCTGCTCATGTATTAGAATACTCAATATTATTAAGCTATTAATTTTTCTAAAATTGACCTATAGTTTTAATATAATTGTCACAAAAATATTCCATCAGAATTTTTATTTGTAGAGATTGACAATCTGATTATAAGTTTTACAGGGAAATAAAAGCTATCTAGAATAGCACAAATAATTTGAAAGGAAATAACAGTTGAATATATACAACTTGATTTCAAGACTTAGTATAAAGTCACACATAATTAAAAGTGTGCTATTGATATAAAGATGGACACACAGATCAATGAAATAGAACAGATAGTCCAGAAATATGTGTAGTCATTTGATTTTTGACCAATGTACCACGGTATTTCAATGGAAAGGGGAAGGTCATTTCCCCAAATGATGCTGGAACAATTTCATAGCCCTAAAAAATATAAATAAATTACCTCAATCCTTGCCTCACATCACATACAAAAAACTTAAAATGGATCACAGACCTAAATGTAGGAGTTAAAAGTATAAGATATATAGAAGAAAATAATTTTAAAGAAATCTTATGACGTTGTGCTAGTGAAGACTCAGGACACAAAAGGCTCTAACTATAAAAATATTTTTTTAAAAAATTATTTGATAAGTTGGACTTTGTCAAAATTGACACTTTTCAAAAAGTCAAGCCTTTTTGGAAATGGAGACTACATTTGCAAATCACTATCTGATAAATAACTTGTTTTAAGAATATGTAAAGAACTCATGCAAAACAAGGCAGTCAACTCAATGAAAAAGTGGCGAAAGATTTGAAATATACACATCATCAAAGAAGATACACAAATAGCAAATAATACATGGAAGGATGCTCAGCATCTTTAGTCATTAGAAAAACTAAAATGTAAACCATAATGAGATGTCTCTACACATTTCTTACAAAGTGTAAAGTTAAGACTGAAAATATACCAAGTTTGGCTGCTAGAAATACAAAATGTTAGGGCCAATTCACAAAAGAATTAGGTAGGTTCTTACTAACTTAAATATGCAGTAACCGTAAAACCCAGCAGAACCATGTGCTAAACATTTACCCAAGGAAAAAGAAAACATATGTTCACCCAAGGCTTGCAGCCACATGTTCATATCAACACTATTCATATTAGCCCCAAACTGGAAACAGACCAATTCTCCATCAGCTAGTGAATAGATAAACTGTGGCACATCTACAGCAAGTAATACTATTTGACAATAAAAAGAACGAACTGCTACATGTAGCAACATAAATGTCAAAAGTGTTATGCTAAGTGGAAAATACCTAGACATGAAAGTCTACATACTGTATTATTCCATTTATATGAAATTGTAAAAAAAGGCAAAACTATAGAGACAGAAAGCACATCAAGGATGCTATGGGCCAGAGTTACGGGCAGGGAACTGACTCCAAAGAGGCATAAGTGTCACTTTTCTATATCATGATTAGGTGGTGTTTTCAGGAGTATACACATTTGTCAAAAATCATCAGGTGTCTTACAGATATGTTCAAACATGCAAAATGACACATGTACAAAGTTATTCATTGCAAAAAATACAAATTGAAACTATATTGCACAGAATGCTGTCATCTACATATATTTTTGCATTTACATATTATATTTAAAGTCCCTAGGTTTTTTTTAAAGAAAAATCAAATTTTTAGCCAATGCTTATGATGAAAAGTGCCTATTATGTGATATTTAGAGTCAACCTGTATAAAATTATATGGTTCAGGGAAGAATTGCTGGATCGTGTAGCACAGTGGAACTCCAGAATCTGCTTGGACTCTTCAGAATGGGCTGGTGATTATAACCAGTCTGACCTCATTATCTGGGCTTCATGTTCCTCATTGGCATTCTAAGAAGAAAATGACAGGGAATCAAAAGGAAAAACTGATAGTGTGTACAGTGGCACACACATCATCATTACTGCCGAGCTAGTCTGTCCTAAACAACTATAAAAATTCTAAGAAAGTCTCTTTACAAGGGGCTATGGCCATTTATTGTCCCAGAGACTAGATGGAATCAAAGCTTCCCAAGATACAAGAGAGTTTAAATCTCTAGGGACCTGACACTCATACTCCATAATTGTGACAAGTACACTTTGACATGGCTGTTCACAAACTCATCATGGAGACCTTAAGGATGTTGCTCTTCAATTAATTACATGCTCCCACACAGTTCATAGCTATGACGGGAAGCAGTGATACTTCAAATGTTAACATTCCAATGATAGGAAAAAGGTCCATTTTCCCAAAATACTAGACAGTCATATATAATGGAAACTGCAAACCTCCGAAAGTGTGTCTGCGTGTGGGCAAATAGTAAAATAGCATTGAATACACAATGTCTTCAAACACAGTACACAAGTTTGACAGTTATTCTAACTGCTCTAAAATTCTTTTTATCAGATTCACTGCTAACATGCATGGAAAATATGATGACAAATTCGGAGATTCCTAAAAGAGAAAAGAAGGCTATATAATACAATCAATTATTACATTGTCTTTTTTCACAATTCTGTAATAATTGATGGTAATTCAATAGATATTTATCTTTATCTAACTTTATCTTTAAAACTATCCCAAGTTTACTTATTACTGCTACGGTTTTAAATTGCAGCAGCTGAAATATAGTAGGACAAATGCATAATTTGGAATAAGACTAAATATTGCATTTCACCTTGATCACATCGTCTCTGTGCCCTGAGCAAATAGTTTAACTTCTCTAACCCTCAATTTTCTCATCTGAAAAAAAAAATGAATCCTCTCTTTCGGACTTTCAAGAAATTTAATTTGGAAGATATAAGGGAAACATTTGCATCTACTACAGTGTTTCTCAAAGTGTAATGCACCCAGGAATCACCTGGGGATTCTGATTCAGAAGCTCTGCATTGGGTGCTAAAATTTTCAGCTTCCAGGTGATGCCAGTGCTACTATTCTATTATTGCTGATGTTATCTGGAAGCTGGTTTATAATGCAAAATCTCATGTCCCACCCAATGCCTACTGAATTTCAATCTTCCTTTTAACAGGATCTCCAGGTAATTTTTATGAACTTTAAAATTTGAATAACATTGATGTAGCAGTAGATCTTGCTTATTGCTGATATGCAGTCGAAAATATTATAAGTTTTGAATCATCACAAGAAAAGTGTGTAGAATATAAATGAATATAATATGTTTTTTCCTCTTCAAAATCTGATTTTGAATTATATTTCCCAGGTGTCACCGGAAGCTAAAGAGTGGCCTTGCCTCAGGTCAGGTTTCTACTCCCTGACAGCCTCTCAATTAGCTGCTGTTGTAATGAAATTATGCATTGTCAAAAGCCTTTTTGCATCATTTTCTTCACCAAATCTCAAGTTTTAAGTATTTTATATAGAAACTACATAAAATCCAACCCTGCTCTGCCCATTCCAGTGGCTGCCAGATAGCTGGTTTTCTTTGTGATTTTGGGCTGTTGGTTTTCTAGGAGAGGAGGAGAAGATTAGAGCAAGTTAAAACGCCACAGACCTTGCTGCTCTTACTGAGATTCAGCCATTTTTCTTAAGTAAACACTCTCCAGATTGCATCAAGCCATTAGTTAATTTACAGAATTCCAAAATAGTTGATTCTGGAGATTTTTGCTAGTTGCTTATATGGTGAAGAGGATTTTTGGAGGTCTTCACTACACCATTCTGGCTGATGTCGCTTAAAATGCCCTGAAGTTTTTGAATGGTGAACAAAAGTCTTATGGATTTTCATTATCTTGATATATTAGAGAAACCATGCATCCACCTGATTGTATTGGGCTCCATTTACAGATGCCACTAAAATATCTTGATAGTTTGAGGCAATTATTAGATGAGAGGTCACAGTGACCTCCTCCTAAGAAATATTTCTCAGAATTAAATGTCAAATTTTTAATAAACATTGTATTATGATTAAGAGCCCAGGTTTTTAATGAACCCTGGGATCAAGCCCTGGGTCTGGTCCTTAACGTGTAACCTTAATCAAGTTACTTAACCTTTATAATACAGTGATAATAACAGTATGTATGTATAGATTTATTTCAAAATTCAATTAAATTACAAAAGCAAAGTGCTTGACACAGTTCATGGCACAAAGTAAATGCTCAAGATGTTTTAGCTTCTATTGCTATTATCATAGTTAAGAATATGGTTTGGTACTGATAATAATAATGAATGTTCTCTTGAATGTGTTTCTTTAAGAGTCACATTGAAATAGAAATAAATAAAAACTGTCTCACTCATGCTACTTTATGTTCTATGCAATTCTAGGCACTGTGGTGGTCCAGCAGTTGATGTCAGTGATGATTAGCAAACATGATTGCCTCTTTCCCAAAGATGCAGAACTACAAAGCAAGCCCCAAGATGGAGTGAGCAACAACAATGAAATTCAGAAGAAAGCCACCATGGGGCAGTTACAGAACAAGGAGAACAATAACACCAAGGACAGCCCTAGTAGGCAGTGCTCCTGGGACAAGTCTGAGTCACCCCAGAGAAGCAGCATGAACAATGGATCCCCCACAGCTCTATCAGGCAGCAAAACCAACAGCCCAAAGAACAGTGTTCACAAGCTAGATGTGTCTAGAAGCCCCCCTCTCATGGTCAAAAAGAACCCAGCCTTTAATAAGGGTAGTGGGATAGTTACCAATGGGTCCTTCAGCAGCAGTAATGCAGAAGGTCTTGAGAAAACCCAAACCACCCCCAATGGGAGCCTACAGGCCAGAAGGAGCTCTTCACTGAAGGTATCTGGTACCAAAATGGGCACGCACAGTGTACAGAATGGAACGGTGCGCATGGGCATTTTGAACAGCGACACACTCGGGAACCCCACAAATGTTCGAAACATGAGCTGGCTGCCAAATGGCTATGTGACCCTGAGGGATAACAAGCAGAAAGAACAAGCTGGAGAGTTAGGCCAGCACAACAGACTGTCCACCTATGATAATGTCCATCAACAGTTCTCCATGATGAACCTTGATGACAAGCAGAGCATTGACAGTGCTACCTGGTCCACTTCCTCCTGTGAAATCTCCCTCCCTGAGAACTCCAACTCCTGTCGCTCTTCTACCACCACCTGCCCAGAGCAAGACTTTTTTGGGGGGAACTTTGAGGACCCTGTTTTGGATGGGCCCCCGCAGGACGACCTTTCCCACCCCAGGGACTATGAAAGCAAAAGTGACCACAGGAGTGTGGGAGGTCGAAGTAGTCGTGCCACCAGTAGCAGTGACAACAGTGAGACATTTGTGGGCAACAGCAGCAGCAACCACAGTGCACTGCACAGTTTAGTTTCCAGCCTGAAACAGGAAATGACCAAACAGAAGATAGAGTATGAGTCCAGGATAAAGAGGTAAGGAAAATCTGGAGGTCGTAACTACCAGAGAGGGCTCAGTAGCCTCCTACTGTGGGACAGGATCACACTGAGGGTGACATATGCTGGCTCCAAAGTCAAAGAAACACAAGTTTGCTCCATCATTTATGAGCTTTGTGACTGTGTGCAAGTTAGCTTCATCTCTGTGAGCTTTGATTCCCTAATGTAAACAATTTAAATACTAGTAGTATCTACCTCAAAAGCACATAAGAAGTGATTGAACATTTCCCTGGTACAGAATAGGCTCAATAATGTCATCTTTGATTATTATTAAATAGATAGATTTGCATTAGAGGGCTGGAAGGAGAGGGGCTGTGAGGAGATGGACAGAGCATTAGGAGCCTGTTAGTTTTCACTAACAAGAAAAGGATGAAACTAGGGTAAAAAAAGTAGAAGTAAATAGACCTCCATGTTTTATTCTTTCAATCATTGAATGTTGAGAGAGTGCCTTCTATCTGCCAGGCTCTGTTCCAGACGCTGAGGATTCAGATGAGCTGAGAGAGGCCATAAGAGCCAGGTGACATAGGGGATTGACAGGCTGATTTTCAGCCTTTGACTTTTACTCTGAGATAGAAATCCATGGAGGTTTTTGAGAAGAGGGGTGACGTGAAGTATGTTCACATGAATAAGGAAGACTGTAGCCTAAATGAGGAAAAAAGAATATGATTTATAAAGAAGCAATTATGCTAAAACCTAATTATATCAATGTGCATCTTCTCATAAAATGATCAAAGTAGGAGTAGCTCCTCTAGTGTTCTCAGTCCCAGTTTCAGGCTGTGTGATTTGGACAACCCTTCCTCCATGGTGTGCTAGGATCCTCAGTTGGTTGTTAAGTTGGCTTTAATTTACCTTAATATGTTTCCTATCCATTCATCAATTATCAGACAAAAAGATAACGTACTTTCAGAAGCTATGGCAAAATAAATATTAAAAAATACTACTTATAAATGAGATTGAAAAATTACTTCCTTGGAAAGTATTTTTTTGGTAAGTTTCACTGAGTGGAATTGTGGTTTGAATTTTTCTATATAATGGAGAGTGACAGGAGATTTAAAGAAAAATATAGGGTCATTATCTTAAAAGGTTACTCTTCTTTCTGAATGTAGTTTTTGGAACCACTATGTATTGGAATTCTGAATTACTGCCAATCCATGATGATAAATTAGCATTTCACACTGGGAAGCTTATATTTTGAGGCAAGGGGTCACACTTTAAATGTAGTAGAAAAAGAAAAAAGTTATCACTATGAATTTGCAGATGGATACATTCATTTCTGAGGATGTTGCTGATGCATATATGTTCTGAGATCTACGGTATATTTCAGAGATTTTGATAAACTGATAGAACTTCCCAATAGAGGTCATCTTAATGGGCCATTTCAGTGTCACATTCTTACCCTCATGACAGGCCAAGGGAGAGCTCTGCAGTAGGGTGGAGGGTGGGGGACCGCTCGTGGCCTAGCCATGAAATTATAGAAAGTTAACTGTTCTGGCTAAATTTTGATCATTTCTGTTTAGAGTTATTCATTTTTCTTTAAATTCCTTTATAACTTTACCCCACAAGCATTGAAGGTAGATGGATGGATAGATAGGTAGGTAGGTAAATAGGTAGGTAGGTAGGTAGGTAGATGATAGATAGATAGATAGATGATAGATAGATAGATAGAGAGATAGATAATAGATAGATGATAGATATAGATAGATAGATAGATAGATAGATAGATAGATAGATAGATAATATTTTACTTTGTTTAATTATCAATAAGATATATGTTTAAATCATTTATAACTTTACCCCACAAGTATTGAGGGTGGATGGATGGATAGGTAGGTAGGTAAATAGGTAGGGAGGTAGGTAGACAGATAGATAATATTTTACTTTAATTATCAGTCAGTGAGATATATGGTTTTTAGTTTTGAAACATATATTCTTTTTCCCTCTCCAAATTGGTTTCTAACTTTTTCTTTTCTTATTTTTTTTTATGTTTTATTTTTTGACAGAGTCTCACTCTGTTGCCCACGCTGGAGAGTGCAGTGATGCAATCTTGGCTCACTGCAACCTCTGCCTCCCAAGTTGAAGCGATTCTCCTGCCTCAGCCTCCTGAGTAGCTTGGATTACAGATGCATGCCATCATGACTGGATAATTTTTTTTTTTCTTGTGGAGACAGGGGTTTTACCATGTTGGCCAGGCAGCTCTTGAGCTCTTGACCTCAAATGATCCACCCACCTCGGCCTCCCAAAGTGCTGGGGTTACAGGCATAAGCCATGGCACTCAGCTAGTTTCTAACAATTTTCTTAGGAAATATTGTATTGTGGTCAGAGAAGTTCATCTGGATGATATTAATTATTTGGTCTATTAAAACTATTCCCTTATTACTGGATTGGGATTCTATATATGACCAAGAGATCAAGTCTGTTAATCAGGCTATTCAAAGCTTCTGTATTTCTTCTCATTTTTATCAGCTATATCAATAATTTTTGAGAAAGATACTTTAAAATTTCCTATCAGTATTCTGAGTTTATCAGTTTCTTTTTATAATTTTGTCATATTTTATATTGAACAATTTGAGGCTCTACTACTAGGTGAATAGAAGTTTGGAGTTGTTCATATCTCCCTGAAGAATTGATCCTTTTATCATTAATTAGTGCCTATTTTTCATTGTAATAATGCTTTTTACCTGAAACTCTATTTTTTCTGATATTAATATTGTCCTACCATCTTCCTTTGATTAGTAACTTCCTGATATGTCTTTTCCTTTATTTAACTTTCAAACTTTGTTTGATGATTTGATCTAACAACTTACATCTTTACAATTCTGGAATATTTTTTTCATCATCTTTTTGTCTATTTCATCTTCCCACCTTCTCAATTTTCTCTTTCCAGAACCCTTATTAAGCTATGTTTGACCTTGTTAATCTATCCTCTGTCTTTGTTAACTTCTTTTTTCCATATTAAATTTCTATAATTATCATTTTTGAGGCATTCTAGGTAACTTTTCTCAGACCTGTTTTGTAGCTTACTAATACTCTGATGAGCTAATTCAATTCTGATACTTCCCCAGGCCCATGATTGGAGATTTTGTAGTCTCTTCTTCATAAAAACAGTTAATGTTCCAAGCTCTCAGTTAAATTACTTGTAGTTTTCTGCCTGCCTAATACTGGAGGCCTCACCTTCTGTCCCCATGTGAAAAAGAAAAACCTAGACCCAAGCTCTGTGGCCTCTATCCAAGACTAATATCCTTCGTGTGCTTCTACTTATTGTTCTATATTTCGGTTTCTTCCTTGGTTCTGATGGCTGAAGCTGCTGTTTTATTTTAACCTTGATGATGTATTTTAAAAATATATTTCTTAAAACTTTTCCAGCACTTTTATATGTTTGCATTGGGAGGGATTTCTTCTGTATTCAACTTAGTCCTTTTCATTCCTGGAAGTTTCCCACAAGCACCTGATACATACAAATGTGTCAATATATTGTTTTGTAAGGGTTGTCCTTCTCAGTATTTTAATTTCAATTTCTTCCAAAATTTTGGCTCTAAAATAGCTTTGGAAAACAAAGAGAATATATTGTAGAATAATTCTGAGTGGAAACCAGCATAGTACCAACTTTTCATGTAAAAATGTGGTCATATGTTTAAAATAGCCTTCTAAATGATGTAGGATTACAAAATATGAAGTATTATTTTTTAAAATTCTAGTTGCTTACAAAGAGAAGGAAGATTAATTTTTAAGTGTTCTTATTATCTGGATGAAATATCAACATGTGGGGATCAAATTTTTCAAAGCAGAAACATAATTGAGATTTTAATTTAAAAACTGTTATTAAAATAATCAGATATCTGAGAGCTACACATGCATTAACCTTTCAAATTTCAGTGGTATGGTAAGTTTGAATGAGTCCCATGGGACTTTTGCTCAGAATAGGAGAAATTAAAAAGTCAGCCGAGGCCAAGATACATCTTAAATAAAGATGTAACTTTAATACCCCTCTTTTGAATAATATATGTATATGATTTGGATCTTAGTGGTTATGGAGAAAACAGTCTCTGTTTTTAAAAACGTTACTGCGAATTCTACAATTATCCAAAAGCTATACAAAACAACTATCAATTTATAGAGATATAAAATACCTATGCCCAGAGCTATATTAATAACTTGGGAAGCAGTGAGAATTGGGGATGGAAAGGAATGGGCTTTATTTTTACAAAATATGAGATGCAGTGCTTATTTAACACATGTGATCTTTACCTCTCGTATCAATGTAAGCTCATTACTTTGGGTACTCTTTTATAAGATGGGACTCTATATGCTGCCAAAAACCCCATTCTTAGCAGTGAACTTAACCAACAATGACATTTTCCTATCACTATTTTTCCTTTTATAGAAGGCAAATGTTATTGCCCTCTTTTTTTTTTTTTTTTGTTAACTATCAGACTTTCCTGCTGCATTTAGTGTAGTGAACTTTACAATTTAATGTCCAGGAAGCTTTCTGCCTCGTCTGCCCGGCATGTGTTACTGGCTTATCTGTGCTGGCATTCACTTATTTACTATTAAATGACAGCTGCTTCCAAGAGAGGCCTTGGGACCTAATGACTAAGGTGACAGTAAATCATCTTAGCAAACAGTAAAATAATACAACAAAATTACATCCTTTAAATCATTGAAAGGGCTTTATTCCAATTTCCTAAGCATCATAAAGAGTTTAGAAAATATTTGTATGTCTCTTGCATTTCAAGTGAATAAAATCACTTTATCTCTTACTCTTGCGTCCCCACCCCCCACCCCCCCCAACATCCTTTGTAGCTTAGAACAGCGAAACTTGACTTTGGAAACAGAAATGATGAGCCTCCATGATGAACTGGATCAGGAGAGGAAAAAGTTCACAATGATAGAAATAAAAATGCGAAATGCCGAGCGAGCAAAAGAAGATGCCGAGAAAAGAAATGACATGCTACAGAAAGAAATGGAGCAGTTTTTTTCCACGTTTGGAGAACTGACAGTGGAACCCAGGAGAACCGAGAGAGGAAACACAATATGGATTCAGTGAGCCTGCTTTCGCCTGCTGTCTCTGATGGCTCTGGCAAGGACTCCAGGGATTCTGGTGGGATATGACTTAGAACCAGGTGGCTGGTCACCTGGATGTACAGAAGTCTAACTGGTGAAGGAATATCATTTACAGACATTAAACATCCATATCTGCAATGTGTACCAAAGTTATATCATGCCCCATAATGCTACTGTCAAGTGTTACAACTGGATATGTGTATATAGAGTAGTTTTTCAAAAGTAAACTAAAAATGAGAAGCATATTTCAAGAATTATTTTATTGCAAGTCTTGTATTTAAATGTTAAATCAATATGTTGTTGCAATTTAGCTTGCTTTCAAGCTTCACCCCTTGCACTTAACATAAGCTATTTTTGGCATTGTGTTATCATCGGCTTATTTTATAGATCAATATTTTTATTTCCCTTTTTTGCTGAGGAAATGAAGATAAGCAAAAATATAAATATATATATAAATATATGAGTTATTAAAATCAGAAGAATACTTTGTGGCTGTGCTGTTTGTGCCAATAGACTTTGTCATGACCAAAAAGAGAAATGTAAATAGTTTTATAAAATACAGTCGAATCACCAGGAACCTTTGAGCTGCTTTTAAAATTCTTCCCCTGGCACCACTCAGTTTTGCTTTTGCGAGGCGATTTGACATAGGAACTTTGAGACTCCATGAGAAAGTCCCTTTCTGAGGCCCACTGTCTACCTTGCCAGATCCTCAGTGCGTATCGCCAATGCAGGATGCTCCTTAGAAAAGAAAAAATGGTAAAGAATGGCATTTAACGATTCAGGCTTTGAATTACTCTGTCCCTCTGGACCGAATCTCTTTAACTGCTGGATAGTTTTAGAGGAATTCTCCTGCTACTTAGGTACTGGGAAACAATGCTTGCTAAACCATGCCCACGTGAGCACCTGTCTCCCACTCAAACCTCTCCCATCTCCCAACAACTGCACTTTAGAATACCAGCAGTGAAATGGTATTACTGTTTCCCTCTGAGTGAAACTGCTAGAGTATATGTCACGTAGTGACATTTTTTTCTCACTCAGGCTATTGCCATCTGGGATTCTCTCCCTACTACAGCTGGCAAAGTTGGTTTGCAGCAAGAAGATAGTGGGAGGGGGCCAGGCTGCAGGAGAAGGAGAAAAGTTTAGAAGAAACAAACCATTTTGCTTCTAATTTTGACAGTATCACTTTCCTGTTAAAACATACAATAATTTTAAAAGGTGAATGCCTAAAGTTCCAATTTTAGCAAATATGGGAACCTCAGCAATGCTAATTTTCTAGAAAAACCCAGGGCTCTTTGGAGCTAGAGTTTTGGGAGAACAGTTCTTCACAATAAGGCAATGGTTTTGAGAGGCCAGGCAAATAATCTTTCTCACCGTAGAACAAAAAGTTACAAAAGGCATAATCGGAAATAGAGACTACATACTTGAGTTTATGGGGTTTGTGTTGTTTGAAGGTTCAATGCTTGCATGTGTTTATTTATTTTCAAGAGGGAAAGTGGTCTGTACTGCTTTCATCCTTGCCACTGTCTTGCTTTTATTTTTTACTCTCCCACTGAGCAAGCGTCTGTGGTCCTATGGTATCAACCAGTATCTTTATAGCAATAATTTCTTTAATTCCCTTTTCTCTCTCTTTCCAATTATTTAACCAGTTACTTCCACCTGGACATACGATAGGAAATTCAAACTCAAAATATGAAAATTGATCTTAATAACTCTCCCTTCATATCTTTTCACCTATTTCCAGTCCTTATCATAGTTGATAAAAACCTCAGACTCATCCAGAAAGCTATATGATGCACTAGTAAAAAAAACAAAGATATTCAAACTGCTTGGGTTCAAATGGTATACAATTTGCCAGCTGTTACTGAACCTTCTATGCATAACTTTTTTTTTCCTCTGTGCAATTGGAATAATAAAAATACTACTCCCATAGAGTTGTTATGTGGTCTTAATGAGATAGCTTGGGTTAGGCTGAGCACAGCTGCTAGTAGAATCCAAAAAGGGGCCAGGCATGGTCGCTCACGCCTGTAATCCCAGCACTTTGGGAGGCCGAGGCGGGCGGATCACGAGGTCAGGAGACTCAGACCATCCTGGCTAACACAGTGAAACCCTGTCTCTACTAAAAAAAAATATATATATATATATATACAAAAAATTAGCCGGGTGTGGTGGTGGGCGCCTGTAGTCCCAGCTACTCGGGAGGCTGAGGCAGGAGAATGGCGTGAACCCGGGAGGCAGAGTTTGCAGTGAGCCAAGATCAAGCCACTGCACTCCAGCAGCCTGGGCGACAGAGCGAGACTCCGTCTAAAAAAAAAAAAAAAAAAAAAAAAAGACTCCATAAATGTTAACGCATATTTTCTTTCTTTCTTTCTTTCTTTTTTTTTGTGGGGGGACAGTCTCACTGTCTCCTTCTGTCACCCAGTCTGGAGTGCAGTGGCATGATCACGGTTCACTGCAGCCTTGACCTCCCTAGGTTCAGGTGATCCTCCCACCTCAGCCTCCCGAGTAGCTGGGACTGCAGGCATACGCCACCATGCCCAGCTAATTTTTGTATTTTCTTTTGTAGAGACAGGGTTTCGCCATATTGCCCAGGCTGGTCTCAAACACCTGGGCTGAAGCTGTCTGCCCTCCTCAGCCTCCCAAAAGTTATGCAAGATGCATAGCAATGACGGGTCACTTAATTTGTCTGGGACTACAAGCGTGAGCCACCGCGCCCAGCCAACTCATATTTTTCTTCTCTACCCACTTCTTCACTCATAAATTTGCTCACCAGCTAATCTATTCCACTCATCTTTGCCTTTTTAATCTGCTCTCTTTAATCACTTTTCCCTTACCTTTTGATGAAGGCATCCTACCCAGCGCGTTTTGTTCCAGCATCTCTCCTGTACTTTTGTCCTTTGCAGGCTGCCTTTTCGAAATTATTCATCTGACCATAGCTTGATCTTGCTCATTACATATGATGACTGTCACTTGCCCAGGACAAAGCCCTTCACATAGTGTAAAAGGTCCTACTGCCAGTTTCATTCTTGTCTCCTACCACTTCCCACCACACCTGCCATGCCATTTCATACCTCTAGAACTTTCCACTTGCTATTGTTGTGTCCTTCTTGCTTGCCTTCTTTCTAGCTGGCATGCTCCAAACATCCTTTAAGAGCCAAATCAATGTCAGTTTCCTCATGAAGCTTCCCAGAATCTCAAATCAGTGTTAGTTGCTTTTTGTGCCCCCATTCGCATTATCTCTTTCTGTCTTTCCCACATCTGATTATTTTCTTTATCAAATAAGAAGCAATTTAGGAGGGAGAGTGATGAAGTGGAAATAGCAGAAAATTGAGAGCCATTCAAACCTAGATCTGCCTCTCAACATGCCTTATGCAAGATACATGGCAATGCCAGGTAACTTGACTTGTCTGATCTCATCTACAAGGTGGAGATAATAACTCCTACAAAGTAGGGATGTTGCCGTGGTTAATGGTGGTATGTAATGTGCTTATCCCGGTGCCTGTCACTTTGCTCCACTGATAACTCTATTGATAAATGGAGCTTCTTAAGGGGCCAAGATTGTATCTTCTTGCTGTTAAATCCCTCCATGCCTTATGCCAAAGAGAATGTCAGCACAGTGAGTTTGCAGTAATTTTTGGGAATGCAAATATACTCAAACACACACACACACACAGGGTGTTTTGTGGCCTGTGATATTTGAGGGATGATATTATCAATTTTAATTGTCAATTTCAGTGATGATGGCACTAATCAATGGATACCATGAGCAGCATGTTCATCTGGGTTTCCGTTAGTCAAATAAAAAGCCTAGACAATATTAAGTACAATTAACATAAGAATAAATTGGAAATCAATAAGGATACAAAGTAGTTAGGTAGTATCAAGATTTCATTTGCTACATCCTGTATATGCCTCTTTAAAACTATTTAGGTAATTAAAATGAATCTTAAGTTATAAACTCGAGAAAGGATTTGCTTTCAGATGTGGGGCCTACTGTGTTAGCCTCACTATTCAAACTAGATGTCTGGGTATCCTTTGGAGAACATTTAAGGTAGAATTGCCTATGATGTCAGCTCTACTGAAACATGATTTTATTATATGTAACATTATGAAATGACTAAAATCTCCAGGTGGAGTTTAAGTAATCATTCCCATTGATTCTCAAGCTGGGATATTCTTCAAAAAATCATTCCCAGGCTGGGTAGTTTATATTATTGATATAATTATGACACCTTGAAAATTCAGGAGAGCATTAAATAATGTAATGCTTGCCGCAAACCCCAGTGTTCCTTACACTGCAGAGCTGCACTCTGATTAGAGTACCATACGCATGAGTTTTGGAATCTACGACCAGGGTTCAAACCCAGCTCTGCCACCTCATAGCTTTATGAACCTAAATTATGTAATATATATAAGCCTAAATTTGTTTTTTTCTGGAAGTAGAGTTAATAGTTCCTCCCTTATCATATTTTTATGAGGAATGTAGTACAATAGGTGAAGGGATTAACATAGTGCCTGGAACATAGTAAGTGCTCACTAAATGGAAACTATCAGCCCTCAAATTATTTCTGTTGAAAGAGTGTTTCAGCTTCTAAGGAACGTAGCAAGGTTCTGGACTCAGGGATATGACCAGCATTAAAAGTATCATGATCACCAGCACAGGATATAATTATATCTTGGTCTCAGAGACTCTTAAGTTTATCCGTGCCCAGATAATCTGCCAGGGATTGATGGCAAGGAAAGTAACCCAAACCACTCTTTCTTTCTGAGATAATACAATTACATCCATGATCTGAAAATCATGTCTAAACAACTACGTGTAACTGTCCTTCATCAACTCTATCCATGTCTACACTAAAGATGATGTTGGGTGTTAAAGGTATTGGATAAAATACAATGAATGTTTCTGAGGGCTATCATGAATAAACTGAGGGCTGTGGACTAGGTCCTCTGGGGTACATAAACTTACAGTTATTGCCATGTTATATGATGTGCTGTGGAAGTAACTAAAGAGACCATAAAGGTGAAGCTCAGGAGAGCACTGCAGAGCCGTGACTTTGGTGTGAGTCCTAAAGACCAGTAGGAAGTCATCAGACAGAGCTGCAGTTTTGGTAAGGGGCCTTCCTAGCCCATGGAACAGCATGGCAAATGTGCCTTCAGGGTAGACCCTAGGGAGTCTTTTCAATAAAATAAACATGACCTACCAAGTTCATGCCATCAAGATGGCATTGTGCCTAACACCTTAGCAGCACGTCATGAGACCTGAAAACACACTTAGTACCCACGCGGCTTCTACTCTCTTATTCAGAGAAAGCATCCAGAGCTGGAAACATTTTGCCTTGTTTGAACTCACAAACTACAGGAAAGGAGTGCTGGAACTGTGGCTCCCAAAGGTCTGTTTCATTATTCTCTTTATAGTCTTCTTAACTGCACAAGTGGGGAATGAGTTGAAAGTTAGAACTGCCCAGCTTAAGGGCCTCTTGCTCTGAAGTGACTTGGAGAACTAACAGTTCCCCAGGCAGCTAAAATCTACTGAACCTACTGTAGATCTTTCAGTAAAAAGTTTAGCTGATGAAAAGTGTGGTTTTTAAAGCACCATTTGTGGCTCAGGTCCAGGTTTGAATGATACTCCTTATTTATGAACTTCTGTATAGCTGCTGTCTGTATGGCCTCTTGAAGGATAAGCCACAGTGAGGCCAGCCTTTTCTTAAATAGGGAATGAGGGCAACAGGAGAACAGTGAATTGTTAGGGGGCAAACCAAATTGGCATCATTTTCTTTGAGCAAAACTGTCTCTTACTTCTGGGGGAGGCCCCGAGCATCCCACCTGTTCTTGCGAATAGAGGATGTCCATCCCAACTCTCTCTTCTCCACACACCCATTCCCTGTTCCCTACCCCCTCATGATTCACTAGATTAATTATGCACCACACTGAAGTGATCCCCAGGGTCATGCCATCAGACCCTCATCGCTGGTTACCTGTTGCCAAAATAGTCCAAGTTCCCATGCCATTTTTCCTTCATCTATTTGCTTATCCCCATATTGCCCAGTGTATTCTCTCATTTGCTTCTATCTCCAATGGCCTCCCCCTGCCTAGGACTTTTCCATTATCCCCTCTAGATCTTACAATGCCATCACCCTCCCCTATGTCCTCTTCTCTGAATCATGGTTGCCTCCTGAAGACACCATCTTCCCTGCAGCCCTCTCAAGCCTAGCTATCTTCCTCTCTACAACCTGCGTATCATTGGCCTGAAGGGGAGACATCTTGCTTTGCTATTTGCAGCTACTTTCAGACCTTTAATCCTTCTTCCTCTCTAATGACCTTCTTACAAGCACATGTCTCCTTATCATTGACTGAATATTCTAGCACCTAACCCACTCACCCTCCCCACTCATACTCCATTCACCATCTTGGCCACTCAGCTCCTTGACGACTTTTGAAAATCTTGTTCTGCCGCTGCCTGAACATCAGCCACCACACTCATGGTTACACTGCGTACTGTGTCATGACTAATCACTGGCATCGCCAACAGTTCCATTTCAAGCATCCCACGCTGTGGTCATCACTTCTTCTCTCTCTAGTCACTCCCCTTAGCACCATCACTCCAAATTGGTAAGTTTTCAGCGACTATCATCCCCCATTTCATTACTTCCCTCCTTGACCAGCTTAGCTTCTATGGTTCCTTCTCATAATTATTCTCTTGCCCCCATTTCCAAATCCCATTATGTACTCTCCCAGCACTGTACTACTCTTTTGAGAATTAAAAAGAAACAAATTGCAACTCTAGTAATTTTTTCTTACTCTTAACCTGTGCCTAAAAAAACTAAACATGACTGGAGAACAAAAGACCACCAAGTTGACCTGTGTTCCTTTGTATTTATATTAATATGGCTCACATGGTTTTCATCACTGTCCAGTAACTTATTGTCACAGTTTCCAAGGTCAATTTCACACTTCTCAAACTTCCACAAACTCTTCATTGTCTACTGACAACCTTACTTCTATCTTTACTGAGACAACAAAAAAAAAAATCAGATGAGTATGTACTTATGCCCATCACGTCACCGTATTCCCAAACTACCTGCCTCTGTGCACACCACCTCACTGCCTGCTGCAGTTACTGTCCAGGGCCAGCGCCTCTGCCCATGTACTGGAGCCTGTCCCTCCACCCTTTTCAAGCATGTTACTCTATCAAATAAATATCCCTTTCTCTTTTGCATTATCAGTTTTGCTATCTCTCTGTTGGCCCCACCAGCACTATTACCCATGCTATATTAGCTTTTAAAAAAATCTCTCAATCTCACATTTATCTCCAACGTTTACATCATTCTTTTGCTGCACTTTGTAGAAAAATATTTTGAATTTTCTGTATCTATTTCTACTTCCTTACTTCCCATGTTTTCTTGAACTCACTCGAGTTACTCTTTTCTTGCTCAATACTGGATAGAAACTGCTCTCATTGGGGTCATCGATGACCTTCAAACAGATTTAGTCCAACTGTGAATCTTCAGTTCCCATTTTACTCAGCCTCTCAATAACAATCCGCCCCTGCCCATTCTCTCACTTTTGAAACACCTTCTTTACTTGGCTTCCAGGACAGCACACTCCTGGTTTTCCCTCTACCTCACTGAACATTCTGGAATACCCTCCTGTTTTCTGAGGTCTGTATGTTGGAGTGAGAGGCATCTCCATCTTTGGTTTTCTCTTCTTTAACTACACTGTCTTTTGGTGGGCTCATACAGGCTCTTGGCTTTTAATACTACTTATAAACTGATTACTCTCAGATTTCTGTTTCAGCTCACCCTCTTCCTTGAACTCCAGCTTATAAGACACTCCTGCTACTCCACGTGGATTTTTTTTTTTTTTCTTTTTTTTTTTGAGATAGAGTCTCACTCTGTCACCCAGGCTGGAGTGCAGTGGCTTGATATCGGCTCACTGCAACCCCCGCCTCTCGGGTTCAAACAATTCTCCTGCCTCAGCCTGAGTAGCTGGGACTACAGGCACATGCCACCACACCCAGATAATTTTTTGTATTTTTAGTAAAGATGGGGTTTCCCCATGTTAGCCAGGATAGTCTCGATCTCCTGACCTCATGATCTGCCTGCCTTGGCCTCCCAAAGTTCTGGGATTACAGGCGTGAGCCACCGTGCCCGGCCTCCACTTGGATATCTAATAAACATCTCCAACTGATATTCCAAAAACAAACATGATTTTCTCCCCAATGTTTTTCTAACCCATTGTTCATCATCTCAGTCAACTGTACCATCATTTACTTCATGGTTTAGGTAAAAGAATCTAGAGCCATTTCTGATCTCTTGCTTTTATATCACAATATCAATCTATCAGCAAATCTTCTCAGCTCTGCCTTCACAATAGGTCCAGAATTCAAATCCTTCTCACCA
This sequence comes from Homo sapiens, assembly GCF_000001405.40. NCBI lineage: Eukaryota > Metazoa > Chordata > Mammalia > Primates > Hominidae > Homo > Homo sapiens. The sequence continues at coordinate 86,009,139 of NC_000004.12, forward strand.
TCTCCTTTTCCTAGTCTAAGCCCCATCATGTCTTTCTGGATTAATGTTTTATCCTACGATGGATTTTTTTGTCCCCATTCTTATCTTTCTTCCTAAGAGTCCTCTTTACTCAGTAGCCAAAGGAATCCTTTTAAAAAGAAAATTTAGCTTATATCATTTCCTTTTTCAAATCTAACCACCATCTTCCCATATTTAGAATCAAATCTCAAGATCTTGCCATGCTCTGACCCCTGCTTCTCTCTCCAATTTCATTTACAATCCCATTTACTCTTGTTCATTCTGCTTTATCCACAAGACTCTTTGCCCCTCCTTGTCTATATAAACAAGCTCTCCCTCCAAAGCCTGCCCCTGCTTTCTCTTCAGAGTCTGAAATGCCCTTCTCCGTGTCAATAGCTCACTCTCACTTCAGTCAGGTCTCTGAGCACTTATCCCCTCTTCTGAGAGGCTTGCCCTGACCACCTTGTCTAAAATAGCATCCCTTTCCCACCTTACTTTTTAACCTGCTTTGTGGTCTTCGTACTTACCTCTATCTGACTTCTCCACTAGAATGCAGACCATGTGAAGGCAGATTTGCTGACTTCATCACATCAACTATGTGTACCTAGAACAGTCCTTGGATGGTTGACGTGCTTGATAAATAAATATTTGTTGCATGAATGAATGAGTGAATATTTAGAGCTCTATGTCAAATTTCTGGTTCAGATGTTCAGGGATGTTCTCAGTTGGACCTTTTAATAAAAAAAAACAATAAATGACCAAATTCTACTTTAAGTTATTTTAGGGTTCCAACAGTCACCCATAGACTGAACAAACTCCGAAGATTTGGCTTCATGTAAGAATGTCACTGCAAAGAAGCTTCAGTACCCATTGTGATATCATTTGCTAATTTGGAGATTGTGATGCCAAAAGTATAAGCCCCATGCTCAGTCAGCATCTAGGTCCAATAGCTCTCAGAGGAACCATACATCAAAGCAAACTTTCTGCAATGCGGAAAAGAACATCCATGCATTTTTAAAATGAATTTTAAATTTTAAATAATTTTTAAAAGTGGTTTCATCTCTTGTAATGGAAAATATTCAAAATTCTCATGCTGATTCATGAAGTATACTTATATAATTAGACAAAATAAGAACATTGAAAGAAGCAGACTCCTTGTTTCATCGCTTTAAGCAAATAATAAAAATGGACTCGTGCAAGTCACACCACTAATTTAAATACATTTTGTAAAAAGATAGCAAATAAATGAAATAAAAATATTTGCTTTAGTTTTTTTAAACAAAGATTTATTAACTCTGAATTTTTTAGGTTAAGGACCATGCAATATATATCTCCTACACCGAAGTGTCCAAGAAATGTTTTTGGAGTAAATTAATGAACTGCTTTAGAATGTTGCTCAGAAATTAAGCTAGAAATTCAGAGCAATATTCTCAGGGCTTGATTTACACCAAATCCAAGTTCGCAATGTATTAACATGAAGGAATAGGCCATTGCTTTCTGAAAACCTTCCTTTTATAAAAGAAATACTTTAATATTATGAATTCTCTTGGTCTGTGTAAAATATTATTTGCATTATAAAAATTGATTTTTTGGTATAATTGTTCATAGGCAATATTTTCACCAGGATGGGTTCACAAGTGTTAATGGAAGGCGAATTATGTGTGGGACAGTCTTCTAGGGAATATGTGAGGGGTTTTTAAGATGGATAACATTTTGTACCTGCTTTTGAGTTGCAAATGATCTGGACTGTTGGTTAAACATCGCAGACAAGATCAGGTGAAGAACATTACTAGAAGTTCAGTGATTAAGAAATAAAGCCACGTACCCCACGGAGTGAAATTTGAATTCCTTAAATTCCCTCAAATTATTTTATGTTGGATTTTACACCAGGATAGGAATGTCTTTAAAAGTAAGAAATATTTGACATAAGGTAGAAAATTTCAAAGGAGTGTTTGACTTGTTGCTGGATGTGTCACCACATTTCATGTGTCTGAGAAATATAAATTTCTACAGCACATTTTTAGTGCCTTAAACAGACTACAATGATGTAAATGGTTGAACAGTTGAAATTTAGTCTGGAACTGGGACAGATGACTTGCCACATAGAGTGGCTCCCAACATAAAGTGATCTGTGATGGCAGGACTTTCAGCGTGTTTCACTATTAGCATGTGTCATCCAAGCATGCCTTTCAACATCTGTGGAGAAAAGACATGTTACAAATACAAAACACCACCATGATGAATTGGGAATGTCAAAAACCTCTGCCTTGGCTGTGATCCAGTGTTGTTATTGGCAAGTAGATTCATCCTTCTAGGTTGGTTGCTCCATAAGTAATCTTCAAGAAAAGCAAGTCCAACACCCTTTTTTCTCCTTACTGTGAACTTGGTCAAAATTACCAAATGTTTGGTAACCATTTATGGTATCAGGAATGCACCAATAACTCCTTCTGACTCTTTAAGAGCAATCATCTTGTGGAATGCAATTTCCCTTCTTATTATTGTGGGTATTTTTAGGTACCTATGCTTGACCTTTTTTAAAGAGAGTAAGGATCTGTGATTTAAACTAGGATAGAAGCTGTTCCAGAGATAACAAAAAGCTGTTGCTTTCTATATTCCAACAGGAACTAGGTAAAACGATAAATGTGATAACTCAAAATAATGTGTATGTTTATCTTCCAGGCTTTCTAATAGTTAATTGGTTAAATAAAACATTATTTACAGAAATAGAAGAGCCACTCCTCAACTGTTCAAACACTGCAAAGTAAACTAATGCAAGTGCAGTGACCTCTTCATCCAGCCACAAAATCATATATATTTTTAATTCTCCAAGGAGTTTGAGATAGTAAAGTTGGATATCATGTAGCTAAACAAAGGCTTTTACCTTTTCTCTTGGAAAATAGTTAAAATGAATAGAAATCTGATAATTAATCTGGGAAATTTAACCCTGCTCTACTTACCTAATGCCCCCCCAAAAGATGATCTTTTTTTTCTTCATTGATTTTATACCTTAAAAAGAAATTACTGAATTGCAGATATACAACTAGTATCTACAGACAGAAATGAAGGTCAGTTTTAGAAGAAACCAGTGTCAAATGAAAACACAGATTTCTACATGGTCACATTCATATCACACACTCTTGACCCAAGGTGAGAAAGTAGGTCATTCCTTATTTCTTATTTATTCCCTGGCACAATCAGACCACACTACAAGTTTCTTTTACCAGTTGCCAAAATGAAATCATGACACCCTTCAGAGCTACTGTCGTTACATGCAACTCAAGACAACGAGCAGCATCATAACCATTGTCAACAGGCAAACTCCAACAATGTCTGGGTTTGGATTTGGTTTTATGTTGAGAGAAGCAGATTTCCTCTGATTTTAATAATCCATAAGAAACAGAAATCATAATATATTGACTCCATATTACCTAAAAAGAGTCAAAAGAAGCAGAAGTTCTCCCCCGATTCATCCTCTTGTTCCACAGACATTTTGAAAATAAAAGAAGACAAAATAGAAAGGAAAGGGTGTGAGAAAGAACACAGAAATGACTTGAACGATTTCAAATCCTTATTAAGCATCACTGAGGTTGCATTTTACCCATTAGACTGACTGAATTTAGTTCTCACTGCTCAGACCTTGCAAAGAAACTGGACGTACATGGTTTTGCCTTCCAGGGTTGATCTAGAACTGTAAGGGTGCATGTGAATGTGGGTATGCATGTGTGTGTGCTTTAAGTCCATTTTATAAACACTGACACAAGACAATTCTCATCATTGGTAATAGTCTTTGGAGTCCAATCATGCAGAAAAACAGGCAGGTGCAAGTTAGGTCTCATTGCAAGATGGACATGGCAAGGTGAACAGATAATCCTACATAAGGATTGGGAGATTTGTGTCCATTAGAATATACTGGCCATTGGTCCCACATAAGTAAAGTTACATATACAAGATTCTATATATAAACAGAGGCCCCTCACTTCAGTTTGGCTGACCAAAGAAACAGGTCAAAGTGAGCCATTTTCAGATAGTTAAAGGACTAAGTACCAAAAGAAATAACAAAATCTTATCCTCTAATCACAAAGAAAATAGCTAAAATAACTATTTACATTGCAACTTTTTTGTTGTTTTTACAGAGAGGAGTTTCCTTGCTTGGCTTAATGATATCTGTGGAAAATGTTGAACTCTTATAATTAAAATGTGTGTGGGGGATTGTGAGTGGGGAGTTGGGTTCCTCTTTGGATGCAAAGTGGCTGAGATCAAAAATTTCTAGAGCAATTTTACTCCTCTTTCTGAGCTGTAGAAGAATACATTTTTCAGCAAAGCTGGCTAATAACATGCCTTACAGAGCATAATGCACTTAAGATGTGGCTTTTCATATGTTAAGAGATTCAAATCGAAATAGATTTTGTATAATTTAGGTTTTGCAATGAATATTTACAATTTTAAAACAAATCAAGTTTGCTTATTTTTTTTTCCTTGACAGGACATAAAAGGTTTTACATATTTTTATCTATTTTTTACTAGTTCCATTTACTAAGGCCAACTTTCAGTTTTACCAGTCAGCTGCTATCAGTGTCTTTAGATAATATTTTTCTGATAACAGATTGAAAAAACTATCGAGCTTCTTAACCCTCAATTAAATAGCTTACTCCAATTGGTGGGAACTGGCCAGGCTCTGGTCCAACTGTTGGGTACATTCCTACAAAACTCAGTCATCAGATTCTTGAAGATGAAAGGTTATTATCAGTTTTTATTCCACAAGAAGAAATTCCGTTGTAAGGCTAGTGTATTCCTATTTAAAATTGAACACGCTGACCCACAAAACACATATAAAAATAGTAAAGACATATTAATAGTAAAGTGGTGGCGGTTTTGCCAAACTCTTGCAGCAGTTTAATTTTCCCTGCACATGAGTACACAGCCATCCTTCCTACAAAATACTGCAAACTATTTTATTAAGGATCACTGCAAACCAACTGCCCCAAAGGAAGCCTAACAGAAGGTTAGGCTCCTCAGAGTGCCAACTTCATGTTCCAAAATGAGCCCCAACCCCAGGTAGAACCTTCACTTTTTTTCAGGAATATTGTCCAGGTGACTTGACACTTGCCTACCGGAAAAGTTGGGATGTTCTTGGGAAATAACAGGTGACTATTTAAGAAATATTTGGGGTGTGTGTGTGTGTGTGTGTGTGTGTGTGTGTGTGTGTGTGTTAAGACAGACAAGTGAATGCAGAACATATTATATTCTGTGAATTTGATAATATCATCACCTCCTAGACATATTATAGGAAAGCAGACCTAGTGGGCAAAGGACTGGGGGGCTTTTACAGTGGTGATTCTCTTTGTTGTTCCATCATCTGCCTTGCTTTAATCACCTAATAAAACTGATCCTGCAAAAATTCTGGGGGCCAAATCCTTACCTCTATTTGTAAATGATACTTATATTCAAGGAATTTGTTCCATTTTTCTCTTGTCCATAAGGGAAATCTGGCTAAAGCTAACCAGCTCCCAAGAGCCATGCACAGAAGATGTAAGACTAATTGAGCTTTGGGAAGGTACTAACAGCGGGGGAGGGGCCCTGTCTAGTTCTTGCCTGGTTTACTCTGAGGGGGAAATTCACCACTTATGCAGGTACGAGAGATAGCCTGTCAAGCACTTTGAAGATGCTGGCTGGAGACTTCCTTCTGTCTTGTGATGTCATCTTGCGGCTGATGAAATTCCCCTTGAGACTCTCTTTAAAGCAGCTTCCTGCTCTCCGCACTTAATCCCATGTGGTATAAAGTAAGGGAGGGGAGAAGCCACAGATATATCAAGAGAAAAGTACCGAGAAAGAAAATCAGTAAAGAATTAGAGATACAGAGAGGAGAAGTTTTTAAAAAAAAAAAAAAAAAACAGGAATATGAAAGAGAGGGAGCTCAAGTGACTGAGGAGGCATTTTTAACAATCAGGTTATCTGCAATATTAACCAGAAAAAAAATGGTAGCAAAATAGAGAAAATGGGCCATTTTTATTCCAGGGGACAAGCTGCACAAAGGAATGTTCTTCTATTTATTTTAAACAAATGACTGCGTGTACTGAATCTGACTGTGTGAAATAATCTCAGAATGGCAGCACCACTGGCATGGCGATGGTGCAGGTGGGTGCAGTTCCCTGTGGTCTCTATTGCTTGAAGAGAGAAAGAAAGTTCCCTATTATTATATTTAAGGCAGTTTTCAGAGCACTGGCATTCTTGTTTGCTCTGTTTTGGGGATATTCTATTTGCCAATCAGTTCACACTCATCAACCATCCACTTCCTGTCTTTCACTTCTTCAGGTGAAATATCACCACTCTAGTGAGCACCAACATGGTCAGAGTGCAAATAACTGTGATGGATACTTCGAAGTGAATAAGAAGGGAAGCCTGATTATTGCTGAGATCACCTTGGTATTGCCTTGTACATAACCAAGATGTTTCACAGTGCCTCCTTAAGTGCTCAGGAAAGCACTTTCATTTAATTTAATTTAAGCTAAATTCTGGAGATTTTGCTAAACATTGACATTAATGCTTCATGGCTTTTAAGACAAACTCATATTGCTAAAACTATTTGGCAGCAGTAAATTTATGGGCAGAGTTATTGCTCTTACATCTACTGCAGTACAAAACTCAGATGATCAGCCCTTCGATTGCTCATACTTATTAAAATAAATAAATAAACATGAAACATCAGCCACATTAAGGAGTCAGGGAAACTCCTGAGGAATAACAATGTCTCTGGAGATGTTTTCAAATGCTAACCTGAGACTCACACTGTGGTTTGGGGGTTTCATTATTATTATTATTATTTTATTTCAGAAGAGGAAAGTAATATTATTTCTCAAAATAAAACTTTGGCAGAGTATGAATCAGGGAAGCAGCCCACACATGGAAAACACAATCCACAATCTGAAAGTAGTCTAGGCAGGCTCATTTTTTTGTTGAAGGAATTCACATGGAGGCAATTCTGCTCAGTTCCAGAGAGAGATTCTTATCATCAAAAGCACACACAATAACCTTGCTTCACCACCTGCCACTTTCTCCAGTGGCCTCTTGTTGTGACCAGTAATTGAGAAATGACAAATGGGTATAGAGCCAAATCTCTAAAACAGGGACACCAGTGTCTCCTAGTATCTGGGTAATAACCTCCTTTCAGTCTTAGTCCACACCACACACTACCCTCCAGTCTCTCCTACTCTTTACTGTCACAGAAAAGACTCTCAGCTTTTATTCACACCTGCCTTCAGAAGGCCAAACCATTTTGTGCCTGAAAACTGTTACCCACTCGCCCCACACTTTACATAAGTATCACATATGTTCTTTCTACAAATTGGTATACAGGTGCCATTTAATCCATTCAAATTTGGAAGCTACATCTTCAAGGGTCTGAGAGAGCTCACTCCCCCCATATATTCCCCCTTTACATGTTTTCTTATAAGACATACAGTTTAATCAATTAACAAACTAAACAGCTTATATACTGGCAATATATTACAGATGGGTTTATGTCAGAGTAATAGATCACATGAAATGGACCATGTGGTACCCCAGTGCATTATGTCTTGGTAGAGCCCTGAGGACACTGACAGTAGCATCTCTAAGTAAGTAGTGCTGTATGAATACAGACACATGCGGATCTGTATCTACATCCATCTGACTAGGCCAAGGAGCAGGTAGATGCAAGATAGAGACACACACATGCTGGATGGGGCCACTGCACACCTTGTCATGCCATTTAAAAGGGCAGTTACAGGTTGCCGGTTTTGCAGCCATTAAAATTACACTTTATGGAAAAGGCTTCTCTAATTGTGTCTGATTTGCTTTCTGTAGTAAGCATCATTGGAAGAAGACCAAAGCAAGAGCAACTAGAAGTTAAATATACATTTGAGCTTAGCTGCAATACAGAACCCTGGGGAAGAAGCAGGCTGAAAGATTTATTTAATTTTAGGCTTGGATTCTCTCCCTTGCTGTTTTCTTGATGTTGTGTGTCTGCATTTGTGTGTGTGTGTGTGTCTGCGTGTGTGTGTGTTCCATCACATCATCTCCTGAAGAACGCTGGGTTTCGCAGGCAGGCGGCTAGTCACCTGCAACAACCCAGGGGTCCTGCCGAGGCTTCCAGGCTGCTGTCAGTGTCAGATGCCAGGGTCTGGTCGGTGGACATGGAGGAGATGTCATTGACAGACGAGGATGGAGGGAGACTCTCACTGCTGTTCACTGCTGCACCTGTGCTAAGAAAATGAAGACCAACATGACTCAATCTAGAACCAGACCCATCTTAATGCCATTCAGGATTCAGGGATGGGCAAATACAATAGGGGATGTCCAGTCCATCAATCATTTGGCAAGCCTTTATAGAGCAGCTGACATAGGGGAGCATATCAAATGGTGACAATCAAGACATAGCAATAAAAAGTCCTTCATCACAAGTTATCAAATCTCACTCTATATTTGAAATCACCTGCAACACTTTCTATTAAAAAACACTAATATCTGGTCACATTGCCTCCCCTGCCCCCACTGCACTGCATATATTTTAATATAATTGGCCTTGGGTGAGGCCAAGGTATTTGCATTTTTATTTATTTATTTTTTTTGAGATGGAGTCTCGCTCTGTCGCCAGGCTGGAGTGCAGCGGCACAATCTCGGCTCACTGCAACCTCTGCCTCCCAGGTTCAAGCTATTCTCCTGCCTCAGCCTCCCGAGTAGCTGGGAGTACAGGTGCGCACCACCACACCCAGCTAATTTTTGTACTTTTAGTAGAGATGAGGTTTCAACATGTTGGCCAGAATGGTCTCGATCTCTTGACCTCATGATCCGCCCACCTCTGCCTCCCAAAGTGCTGGGATTACAGGCGTGAGCCACCACGCCCCGCGGGCATTTGCATTTTTTAAAAGCTCCTCAGAGACTGTATTCAGCCAAGCATTGAAAGCCTCTGGCTTATGCAGGAGACAAATAAGCAAAACCCCTTAATGGAGCCATCTGAGCCTGGTTGTTTTTAATGCAGGGAGCTTTTAAAACAAACATATGCAAGGGTCCTATCCCAGAAATAGAAGCTGAAGTGAAGTTCAGAAATCTGAATTACTTGGGGACCACATCTCTAGAGAAAGGAAGATATATAAATACTATTATGTCATCATTAATGACACCAAACTTAAAATGCATATAGAAAAGCCAGTAGGACATAAGTAGGACTGTTGATGAAAGTTACAAAAAAAAAAAAAATAGGAGAAGCCTTAGCACAGCTTTTGCTTATGAGCTAACTCTCCAGCAGGCTTGCTTACCTGGGATCTCCAAATAAGAACTCCAAATTATTAACTTAGATTAACTTGAAAAAATTGTTTATCTGTTATGCGGGAGTATAAGGTTGAAACCCTGAGAAGAAACCTGCCCATGGTAATCACTCAGTAAAGGCTAGCTGAGTTGCCAGTAGCTTTGAGATCAACAAAAGAAAGATGAACCAAAGGCATTGTGCGATACAATTAAACCAGAGCACCCTGGAAACAATCCATTTACTTTTTTTCTTTGTATATTCTTTATACCTAAGCAATCTGAGTGGTAACACACTTGCTTTGTGAAATAGCTCGCTATTAAAAATCTGTAGTATAGTCCCCTAATCAAATAAGAGATGAGGAATTCTCACTAAAATTATATCTTATTTGAGCAAATATAGTGTGCAAGATCTATTTGGTGAAAAATAATAACTCCAAAGTCAGTTATAATAGTGTTATCACATAGACCTAATAAATCAGAAAGACAAAATAAAACTAAATTAAGGAAGGGGAGTGGTTAACATAATCCTTGCTCCTGGAGTAGACATTTCTTGCCTGTGAGAAAAGTGTGATGAAAATGTATCAGTTATCTAGAGAGGACACAAACACCTAAACTAAGACAGATCACCTGTATCTTCCATGTATTTTTAAGTTGTATTTGTTGACTATAAATATATGGACGTACTCTATGGGAAATGTGAAAAAATATAGGAAATAAAGATAATGATATGCACCGATCTTCAAATAAACGGTAAGAACTGTTAAACTTTTCATATATTTCTTCCCGGTCATTCTTTTTGCCTGGAAGTTTCCCTGGTCGTGATCTTTTAATATGTATTTTTTTGGGATCTTGATATTTTTATATACAGAAAAGCTTATGAATTTTTCATGTTCTTTAAACTCCTAAAAATACCCATCCTTTCTAATCTTAAATGTCTCTAGAAAAGGTTTTTAAAGTCCTCCTGTTATTGTCTTTCTGTAAATAATTACTCTATCAGGACAATGTATAAAGTTATAATATTCCATAATATTCCAACTTTGAATGGCTTTAATTTATTCCAACTTTACTTAATTATATCCCCCATAGCTATGGTACAGAGCTGGTTCATTTCCCCTCATGATAAGATTTTATCTCCTAGCAGACAGCCCTTGGTTCCTTTACATTGCCCAAATGCCCTGCTCTGTTTTTCACCCCCGATTCTGGATTAAATTATACCAATATCCTTCATATTCTTTCATAAGTTGCTAATAATTTAGTGTCACTATGATGGACTCCTCAGAATTCTCTTCCATTTATCCACACTCTTATTAAAAGACAGAGATTAAAACTGGACACAGGACTCTATTATAAAGGCCTGATCAATTGTGAGCCTAGCAGAGGGAAATTGCTTTTTTCTTACTATTTGTCTGCTGGATGACATATCCCTAGACTATGGATGCCTTTCAAATTATGGTGCTACAGCTTAATTTAGTTTTGACTTGAGGTATAGAATGATGCTCATATATTTTTTGTAACAGCTTTATTAAGATATAATCCACATATATAATTAAGAAATTTAATTTTCATGATTCAGTGTTTTTTAGTATATTCACAACATTGTGCAGCCATCACCACAATCCATTTTGCAGCATTTCATCATCCCTAAAGAAAACCCTGCACTCCATTCCTCACCTACCCTGTAGCTCTAGGCAATGACTCATCTACTTTTTGCCTCTATAAAATTGCCTGTTCTGAACATTTCATGTAAATGGAAGCATATCATATGTGATCATTTATGACTGGCCACTTTCATATAGCAGAATGTTTTTAAGGCTTATCCATGCTGTGGCATGTATCTGTATTTCATATCTTTGTATGGCTGCATAATATTCCATTGTATGGATACATCACATTTTGTTTATTTATTAGTTGATAGGCATTTGATGGATATTTAGGTTGTTTCAACTTTTTGGCTATTACAAATAATGCTGTTATGAACATTCATGCACGAGTTTTGTATGGACATGTGTTCATTTCTCTTGGGTATACACCTAGAAGTGGAATTGCTGGGGCATAGAGTAATTCTAGCTTTAACACTTGAGGAACTGACAAACTGTGTCCGGAATTGGTGGGTTCTTGGTCTCACTGACTTCAAGATTGAAGCCGCGGACCCTCGCGGTGAGTGTTACAGCTCTTAAGGTGGCGCGTCTGGAGTCTGTCCCTTCTGATGTTCAGATGTGTTCGGAGTTTCTTCCTTCTGGTGGGTTCGTGGTCTCGCTGGCTCAGGAGTGAAGCTGCAGACCTTCACGGTGAGTGTTACAGCTCTTAAGGCAGCGAGTCTGGAGCTTTTCGTTCCTCCCAGTGGGCTCGTGGTCTCACTGGGGTCAGGAGTGAAGCTGCAGACCTTCGTGGTGAGTGTTACAGCTCATAAAAGCAGCATGGACCCAGAGTGAGCAGTAGCAACATCTACTGCAAAGAGCAAAGAACAAAGCTTCCACACTGTGGAAGGGGACCCAAGTGGGTTGCCAATGCTGGCTCGGGCAGCCTGCTTTTATTCTCTTATCTGGCCCCACCCACATCCTGCTGATTGGTAGAGCCGAGTGGCCTGTTTTGACAGGGTGCTGACTGGTGCATTTACAATCCCTGAGCTAGATACAAAGGTTCTCCACGTCCCCATCAGATTAGATACAGAGTATCAACACAAAGGTTCTCCAAGGCCCCACCAGAGCAGCTAGATACAGAGTGTGGATTGGTGCACTCACAAACCTTGAGCTAAACACAGGGTGCTGATTGGTGTGTTTACAAACCTTGAGCTAGATACACAGTGCCGATTGGTATATTTACAATCCCTGAGCTAGACATAAAGGTTTTCCAAGGCCCCACCAGAGCAGCTAGATACAGAGTGTCGATTGGTGCACTCACAAACCCTGAGCTAGACACAGAGTGCTGATTGGTATGTTTACAATCCCTGAGCTAGACATAAAGGTTCTCCAAGGCCCCACCAGAGCAGCTAAATACAGAGTGTCGATTGGTGCACTCACAAACCTTGAGCTAAACACAGGGTGCTGACTGGTGTATTTACAATCCCTGAGCTAGACATAAAGACTCTCCACGTCCTCACCAGACTCAGGAGCCCAGCTGGCTTCACCTAGTGGATCCCGTACCAGGGCTGCAGGTGGAGCTGCCTGCCAGTCCTGCGCTGTGCGCTCGCATTCCTCAGCCCTTGGGTGGTCGCTGGGACTGGGCGCCATGGAGCAGGGGGTGGTGCTCGTCGGGGAGGCTCGGGCTGCACAGGAGCCCATGGAGTGGGTGGGAGGCTCAGGCATGGCGGGCTGCAGGTCCTGAGCCTTGCCCCGCAGGAAGGCAGCTAAGGCCCGGCGAGAAATCGAGCACAGCGCCGGTGGGCCGGCACTGCTGGGGGACCCAGTACACCTTCCGCAGCCACTGGCCCGGGTGCTAAGTCCCTCACTGCCCGGGGCCAGCAGGGCTGGCTGGCTGTCCCGAGTGCGGGGGCCCGCCAAGCCCACGCCTACCTGCAACTCCAGCTGGCCCGCAAGCGCCGCACGCGGCCCGGGTTCCCGCTCGTGCCTCTCCCTCCACACCTCCCTGCAAGCTGAGGGAGTGGGCTCCAGCCTTGGCCAGCCCAGAAAGGGGCTCCCACAGTGCAGTGGGGGGCTGAAAGGCTCCTCAAATGCCGCCAAAGTAGGAGCCCAGGCAGGGGAGGTGCCGAGAGCAAGCGAGGGCTCTGAGGACTGCCAGCACGCTCTCACCTCTCAAAACTGTTTTCTAAAGTGGGTGCACCATTTTACATTACTACCAGCAGTATATGAGGATTCCAATTTCTCTACATCCTCACCAACACTTATTATCTGTCTTTTTATCTAGCCATCCTAGTGTGCATGAAATGGTATCTCATTGTGGTTTGATTTGCATTTGCCTGATAGCTAATAATGTTGAGTATATTTTTTCATGTGCTTGTCAGCCATTAGTATATCTTCTTTGGAGAAAGTTTACTCAGCTCCTTTGGCCATTTTTTAATTGCTTTATTTTCTTTTTATTATTGAGTTGTAAGCTCTTTAGCTCTTTCTTCCTTTCTTTCTTGCTTTCTTTCTTCTTTATTTCTTTTTTTAAGGACAGGGTCTCAGTCGCCCAGCCTGTAGCACAGTGGCATAGTCATGTTTCACTGTATCCTCTAACTCCAGGGCTCAGGCAATTCTCCTGCCCCAGCCTCCCAAGTAGCTAGGACTACAGGCACATACCACCACACCTGGCTAATTAAAAAAAAGATTTTTTGTAGAGACAGGAGCTTGCCATGTTGCCCAAGCTGGTCTCAAACTCCTGGCCTCAAGTGATCTTCCGATTTCTGCCTCCCAAAATGCTGGGTCTACAGGCATGAGCCACTGTGACAGGCCTGTAAGAGCTCTTTATATAATCTGGGTACAAGTTACTTAATGAGATATGTATTTTCAAATGTTTTTCCTCTATGCTATGGTTTATCTTTTCATTTTCTTGAAGGTGTCTTTTGAAGCACACATATTTTTAATTTTTATGAAATAGCATTTATCTGTTGTTTCTTTTATCACTTGTGTTTTAGTGTCATATCTAATAAACCATTTTCTAATCCAAGATTATAAAAACTTACTCCTATGTTTTTGCCTAAGAGTTTTATAATGTTAGACCTTATACTTAAGTCTATGATTCATTTTTAGTTCATTTTTGTATATGATATGAGGCAGGGGCCCACCTTCATTCTTTTGCATGTATATATCCAATCATCCCAGCACCATATATTGAAAAGGCTATTCTTTGTCCATGTCTTACATCCTTATCAGAAATCAATTGATCATAAATGTAGGTATTTATTCCTGGACTCTCAATTTGATTCCGTTGATCTATTTGTGTATCTTCATGCAAATAGCACTCTGTCTTGAATATTGTAGCTTTGTAGTAAGTTTTGAAATCAGAACATGTAAATTTCCCAGCTGTGTTGTTTTTCAAGGTTATTTTGGATATTCTGTATCCTTTGCATTTCCACACAAATTTTAAGATGGGGCTTGTCAATTTCTGCAAAAAAGACAGCTATGATTTTGATAAGTATTGGCTTAATCTGTACATCAATTCGGGGAGTATCTGTCATTTCTTGACAATATTAAATATTCTAATCCATGAGCAATGAAATGTTTTTCCAGTTATTAGATCCTCTTTAATTTCTTTCAACAATGTTTCGTAGTTTTCAGAGTACAAAACTTGTACTTCTTTTGCTAACTTTATTCCTAAATATGTATTTCTTGATGCTATTCTAAATGGAATTGTTTTATGTTCATTGCTAATGTGTAGAAATACAATTATACTGAGGACTTATTTGAATAAGAAGTTTCAGTGTCAGTGGATTGGATGTTAAAAACAGATCAAATGAATATATATATATATATATATATATATATATATATATATAAAATGAATGTTGTAATTAACTAGAAAGCCAGTGGAACCAGGCGATTATGATAGCATGCTTTATTTATGAGAAAATAACCAGTTTTAAAAATAACTGGTTTTATGAGAAAATAACCAGTTTTAAAACTTTAAAAAGTTTTAAAATAAAATTGTGGCATAATACAAACCAAAAAGTATTTTTAAGTCTTTAATAATAATCTTGGTCTTCTCTTGAGATAGGCTTTTTCCCCTATCCTGGCTGGAGTTGATTATGTAGACACATTCTTATTGTCACAATTAAAGTTGAGTAATGATTCAAATAAGGGTGAGATAAGTCTTAGCTGAAATAAGGCTCCCTTATAGTAAAACAATTTGATGTTTACAAATAAACACAAACCCACAACAATGGCAGCTAGAGAAATTAAACAAAGAGCATTGAAGAAATTTCTCCAAAACACAAATTTATATCTACAAATAATATTGAATGTATGTAACAAAAGCCAAAGTAGCTTTTAATAAGCTCTTCATAAACAGGATCGTGCTGCAGGCTATGCTTATAAAACACACAGCACTCCTACTGCACTTATTTTCAAAATCAGCATATTTTCAGCACACTTCTGGAATATTCCGAGTGTTATGCCATACCAGTCAGCCCCTTATTATATGTAGTTTTGTTATGGATTACCTCAAGCATATATTTCCCCTGCTTCTTTTTACTGCTTTCATTATACTTCATTTCTCCTGTCTTCCACAATGTCTACTGCTGAGTAGTAGCACAGAGTAAGTATTCGAGTTAACAAAACAGTATTGAGTATCTTATGTGTACTCTTCTAGATAGGTTCTGTGAGGAAAAGCAAGTTCCTTCCTGCTTTCCAACTAGTGAAACTGTTAAGCTATTTTTGGCCAAAGGAAATCACTTTGTTGCAGTTGTCTTTCTTCTCCTTTTGTTCATCAGCAGCTTCTCTCTAATTCCTATCCTCTGTGTTGGAATGGTCCTGCCCTCTAGTTTATCAATGTTGAATGCAAATATAATTAGTGTTCAACTACTCAAAGTTCAAAATCTATCAAAGTCTTTATCAGCTGTATTTCTAGGGATCCATAGACTATTGCTTCTGATTTTATATGGCACAAATTCATTAAGAGAAGTCTTCAGTGCTTCCTTTGTAAAAGTTCCCATGACATCTGCTTGTTTCATGGGAATGGTTCCTTGCTATCCAGTGTGATGGTGGGAGAGAACCGTGCACTGTCTATGGTGTCCTGGAGCTGGCTTTTAGTGGCTTCTTAGAACGAATTATTAGCATCTCTTTCCAACTCTGCATCCATTGATGTTACATTGTTGCTTAAAATTGGTCACAGTGAGAATATTTATACCACAGGAATTGTTAAGTGCTACTAGTCAATTCTTTTTTTAAATATAGTTGTTAAATGTTAACCAGTCCACCACTATTAGATGAAAACTATTTGCTTCTGTATGACTCCCTCTATTGCGCTATAATAAATGCCTCCTTGCCTGCAGCCACTTCTGCTGGATGATCCATTCAAGTCTATTTTCATGTAGGCAATAAACAGGAGTTCTAAACCATAAACCCAAACACAAACGTAAGGGACAAGACATGGGCCTTGGCTTTAAGTTGTTAAATTACTGCCAAGCAGTTTGCGAAAATCTCTTAAACAGAATTGAACTGAATTGAATATGATCATTGTGTTCAGTTGTCCAGTCAATGTGAGAAATATCTCTTCTTTCTATATTATTTAAGAGAAAACAGTAGAGATACACATTTTCAAAAATGTTTTGCCATCAATAAAGCATTACAAATTTTTGTCTATAAAAATGGCATTAAAAGGAACTGAAAATGTCAATAGGGTTGCAAATGAGGAATATTAGCTACCTTCAACTTTACCTAAAAAATCAGATTTCATAGAAAGAAGTAACATATGCTAAAGAAAATTTCTCAGCTACAAGTTATTCAACCAAAAAACATTGTTATGGGGGAAAATGTTGTTCTGCTTTTTTTAAAGGCAATGATTTTCCTGATAACCCCCAATCCCAACAACAACAAAAAAATATGGTAGACACAGAATTAGAAAAAGCACAAGAATGAAAAAATAGTGTCTTTTTTATCTACATGATCTTGAGCCACAATTTGTCTGGGCCTGAGATTTTTTAATAAAAAGTAAATAAAATTAATGGACTATATTAGTGACCCTAAGACATATTCCCATGGTGGGGAATGTGGTCCTCACTGGGGAGAGAATGGTTGCATATTAAAATCACCCAGAAGCTTTATCTTTGATTTAGAGATTTTGAAAAATCTCTGCCCATCCTGTTGTTCAGCATCCTTATCTTAGTGAGTCACTGTTAGTTTTGGGAGCTTTACTTCTCAGGTGGAAGAGGGCTGGTGAACAAACTCAGAATTGGTGAATCAGATGCTCTCCTGTATTTTTTCTAGTTCTAACGTACTATAACAAATGCTTTTAGAAGAAAATTAATTTCAATTCATGGACTGCTAGTCCCTCAGCAATTGTTACAGATCAATTCAGGAAGCAAGCAGCTATGCCATCCTTGAAAATAAATTACTATGCAAGTGAAATCAGATAGCAGAAGGGAATACAATTATTTATTTGGAAATGTATCTGAAGTTTAGATTTATCTCTTATTGACATACAACAATTTCATCAATAAATTTCAAACCTATAAATTATTCTGCAAATGCACATTTAACTTCCTATTTACATTTTAAAAGCATCGCATAACATGGGTTTCGTATTAGAAGTACTTGGCCCCTGAGATACTGCATTAACTTACTCCCTTGCTGCAGAATTCCCAGTATTGCCATAACTGAATACTAACAGAGTGTGTGTTATAAAAATACCACAGCTATTTTCAAAATAAAATATGCTACGTGAACATTAATGAAAAAAAGCTGAATATAATGAACAATGCAAAAAAGCTGACTTTTCAAACTTTTTTTTAGAATTGCTTTTTCTTTCCAGCATAGTTTATTATACACACAAAAACGCATACACACAGTGGTGCGCCAATAAAAATTTAACAATTGGCTCTGCAGGGGGCAACAAAAACGCCCTGATTTGTAGGGTCTGCCAATTTCCATGTTGTAAATCCTTCGTGCCTGATTTCACGTTGCCAACACACCAACAATAAATGCATAGTTGGGAAGAGAGGTACAGAGTTGGCCGTCATGAGCTGGTAGAGTCAGCGCCAGCACATGGCTGCCCTAGAGCCTCTCCATCATGCACATAAATATGTCATACAGAAATGCATCCCATAATGTGTAGCATACATATGATTTCTCACGAAAGAGAAAGTCATACTACATGACTTATAACTAAGTCATGAATATTTTTCCTAGATTTAATCCACAATCATTTTAACTATAAATTGGTTAAGCCAGTCAACTATAGTTTAGGGCATATGTATTACATAGATAATTTTTAATTGTTAAGGTAGTTGGAATGGTTAAAAAGTGGCTTAGCCTTCTCACTCAGGTAGAGCCTAAGTTGCATATTTTAGAATTAATCATTAACACACTAAGCAGGCCTGCAAAACATCCATGAATATATATTTCCCAAAATGAATAAATCAAACACCTGAAAGCTGCAAACCTTTATGTGAAGCATGAAAAAATGCCAATAGCAAGAATTTATATACTTTATGCTTGGCCTGTTTATCTTCATGGAGATTAATAGAGTGAATAAATATTTATAATAATGGTGTAAGAACATGCTGAATAGTATACTGTATTAAAGTTACATGATCTTGTCTTGAATTTTGTGTTTGGAATAGTACTAAGAAATATGCTGAGGGAGAAATTGAGTGGCAATTTTCAAATTAATATATATTTACTGAGCTACTACTATGTGCAAGGCACAGCACCCAGGCACTACATGGGACACAAAGATAAATGCATACAGTCTTCTCAATGAAATTACAATCAATACGGGATAATAAGACAAGAGGTCAAATATTTAACATACAGGGACTAGTAGGACCTATAGAAAGGAAAGATCCTATTATTTGGGAAGATATAAAAAGTCTTTTGGGATAAGGTGGTATGAAAAGGAAATGAAGTAATGATAACTTGAACTGAAGATGAATAGAATAGGTTCTACTAAAATTTGTCCAGGCCCAGCCTAACATGCTAGGTTACCCGTGGCTACATTCTGTTATTTCTGCTGCTTAATGAGTACATGACAATATGTTCTGGTC
This sequence comes from Homo sapiens, assembly GCF_000001405.40. Taxonomy (NCBI): domain Eukaryota; kingdom Metazoa; phylum Chordata; class Mammalia; order Primates; family Hominidae; genus Homo; species Homo sapiens. The sequence goes on from NC_000004.12 coordinate 86,028,058, forward strand.
ATTATAGGAATTCTTAAAACAAGGAGTCATTCTGCCTTAGCAGGTGGCATCTTGAGGCTTTTGGATTCTGTCTTCAAGTTTTTTAATGAGCAACAGGCCAAACGTGGATTAGTTTGAAGCAGCTTCTGTGGACTGTGTCAATCTGTATGCGAGGGTGAATGAGTAGAGAGGGTGGTATGGAAAACAACTCCTGTGATTCCCTTAACCTTCTTTGAGGAAGGGAAAAACTTGGGATAAAACTGAGTATTTTTTCAAGTCTACTGGTGAGAAAAGCATGTCATAACCGAATTGCATCTGTTTGGGTATCATAGTGGTTTGGGGTGTAAATTAGTTATTCGAAGAGTAGTATCGATATGAATAATTGATTAATTATTTCATTCTACATCTTTTTTCCTAAAATAATTTAGGAAAACAACACCCTAATCAGTTTTTCTCAAAACTAGGCATTTGTAGCCCCCATTTTTGCTAGCAGGAGTTGAATGTAGTTTTTAAAGCTGAAAATAAACCATCACATTTTCTAAAACTCTTTATAGTGAGAGCATAGGTCTTAGGAAAAAATATATTAGCATTAATAAGTAAATTGTCTCAAGTCATACTAAAGCACATTACTAGGATCAGTAAAAAATATATATGCACAATTGTGTATTAGATTCTGTGGCTAGCAAACGAAAAATTTTCCAAGCTGACCTTAACCGGAGCCCATCTTGGTAGATGTTTCAACTATTGTCACATCAACCTTGAGAAGAGTTCAAACACTAAGAATGAATGAGGGAAGAGGTAGCGGCTGAAAGGATTACTGAGCTCCACATTGACTTGATGGTCAAAAGGGCATTATGGCTCTGAATTTTGATGAGGCACATTTACCCTTTAGCCCATGTTAACATTTTCTTCAGGATTCATTACTATTAAAATTATTTATGAAAAAGTTTTTGTACTGGATCATTACCATCAGAATAATCAGAATGAATGCCACACTGAATATCAAAAGAAATAAAACTAAAATCATTATAAGGACACAACCATGTGATATTTGTCCATCTGCTCTTTAAGCAATGTTATGTTATTTCTTGCAACCCCTACACAAAGGCCAAGAAATTACACAAGTACTAGTTTATTGGTTATTCACGGAGAGTGAGTACCTGAAGGAGAAGGCTGTCCTTTTACTACACCATTTTTAGTCTTTTCTTCTGAATTCATTACTTCCTTGTAGATAAGTTCTGTAAGAAACAGCTGTGTTATTATAGAAAACAAATTTATCCTTCATCCACAGGGAAATTCATTACTTAATGCCAAATAATTACGTTTTGATGGGGTTGAGTAAATTAAAAATCAATTGAGATTCCTTTACTGCTCTATTTCTATTTCTATATTGCCTTGTAATTAGCAGAGAGCCTGGCACAAATAGGTATCTAGTAAAGCAGTTGAAGAAATCAATGCATGAAAATTTATTTCTACGTACATGAAACATACTATTTATTTCCATATACATAGTATTTATTTCTACATACATTTCTACATAAATAACATTTATTTCTACATGCATGAAATATTTCTACATAAATGAAACAAGTAATACATGTTTTACTTGTTTTCTGAATTCTTTGGGGGAAGTACTAATACATTCTAGCTCAATCTAGCAACAATTTTTATGGCTTTGAACATCCATTTTTCTTTATACTTATTTCCTATGAAATGCACACATTCTCATGACTTTAAATTATTACCAATCCTTACAACTTCCATCTCTTACTGCATCTTTTTTTTTTTCCAGACTCATATCTTGGACTTGTAAATCTAAACTTGCCAAAAACCAAACACATTAAAAAATTTAGTTCATTTACTCTCAGACTGGCATCCATTTTTGGCTTTCTGAATGCTAGAGTTAAATTGGATAGTTTCAGTTCTGTTTACTCTGTCCCTTTAGCTAAAAATCATTCCGCCCTACTCATTCTTGCTTTGCAATGGCTTATAATCTGTATAATCATCATCCTTTACATGTACTTCTTTCTCCAATTTCTCACAATTTAGTCCATGTCCTCCTCAAATGATGGTTATATCCTATCACCCACCTATTCATGAGCCCCTAAGGAGTGCCTTCCTGTCCTTACTTGGATCAAAGCAACTCTTTTTCATCTATATCAAGCATCTTTTTTCACTTGATCCACTTTTTGTATATGTTCATTTTTCCATATTCACCAACATGACCCTGGAATCTCTGGACCAGTGGAATCTCTTTAGTATCTTTTAAAATTTTTTTATTTTATTTTTTATTTTACATATATATATAGAGAGAGGCAGAGACTTTCTCTGTCACCCAGGCTTGAGTACAATGGCACAATCATGGCTCACCGCAGCCTCAACTTCCTGGACTCAAGTGATCCTCCCACCTCAGCCTCCCAAGTAGCTGGGACTACAGGTGTGTACCACTATGCCCGGCTAATTTTTGTATGTTTCTAGCAGAGACAGGGTCTCCCTATGTTGCCCAGGTTGGTTCTGAACTCCCGGGCTCAAGTGATCCCCCAGCCTCAGCCTCCCAAACTGCTGGGATTACAGGTGTGAGTCATCGCTCCTGGCCCTGTTTAGTATCTTTATAACATTTTCTGCTTATTCCTGTCCTTTGTTTTCCTCTTAGTCCTTTATCTGATATTTTCTTAATATTTTTTCTTTTCCTAATTTACACTTATTAATTCCTGCAAGGTAGCTCAAATGTTCCTTCCCTTCAGCTCTTCCCATTTTGATCTGATCATTTGCTACAATCTGCATTTGACTTTCTCATATTTATTCTATTCTGTAGTGATTTAGATTAGTAGATTAGATTAATAGGCTACTCAGATACACATATTTTCTATGTAAATTCTCAAGTCTTATCAATCCAATGAGTAAACTCATATATTGACTATCTTTTATTTTCTAAAGTCTAAAACCATCTCAGAATTAATTTTAATTTCATGCTTCATATGATGATTTTATGTACAAACATAGAAAGTTGTATTCTGGAATTCTGAACTAAAGCTTGCCCCCCACCATGACAAACACTGACAATCAGTACCATTTTAAAAGGTATCGACAAACACTGACAATCAGTACCATTTTAAAAGGTATCAATGGTAAATGCCTTTCATTCTTGAGCAAATGTGACATTGCTTTCGGCATGAAAAGACAGATGAAGTTTTAGGAGCTTTAAAAATGGTCTAAGAGAATAGCAGTCAGCAAATCATTTTTTAGTAAATTGTTTTACAAGGAAAAGCCTTGTTGATACTTTCTGAGTTCAATAAAATAAAAAGTATACTTTTTTAAGTAGTAGACTTACCTTTCCATTCTTCAATTGTGTGTTCTCTTTCATCCAACTGCTTGTCATATATCTGAGGTGGAGGCTGCCGAATAAAAACAAAAAATAATCTTTGTGTGATAATGTAAACATAACTAAACTCTTACAATGCACGAGAATACCTTGCCCTCATTTATTTCGGTGATTTCAACCGTATATAAGTTATGAGGAAATTACAGTAGTTCAGAAGTTAAAATTTTCCTGTAAACTTATGGAGGATTCATTCATATTGCAATATTTGCTGCTGACCCAATATTGCTGCAATATTTGCAGCAGAACGCAAATCCCGAGAGCTCACTTTCCGACATCTTCTGATTTAGAACCCACGCCTAAGCAATTAATGACTGGTCTTTTAAAAAACAGACAAAACACTTGATTACAATGGCCCAGAAGCTACTTTTCCTTCATTCACTTGCCTTATAACAGAACCATGCTAAAATTCTTCTAGGCTAATAAGATTTTGTTCTATTTTTAGACCTTCCCTAAAGAAAAGTTTATATTTCTCAACAGACCATAGTACTAGTCCTCAATATAAAAAAAATTGAGATCAAATCAACCTTTTTATTTTTCATGAAATACCATAGAATGTCTTTATATATTGCTGTGTGCCCTATACTTAAACGATTTTAAGCTTTTTGGTTTGTTTGTTTATTTGTTTTAACCTGCAGAAGCTGCCATGACTGTAGAGGTAGGTCACCTTGAATCCCTGAATGGCCCTTGGTTAGTCCTCTCTAGCAGAAATGATGCAATAGGGCCTTCAGTCTGACTTATAGAGCCAGCATTTCTCTTCCCATGTGGAGTTCAAATGTGGAAAAGGAGGGATTTTCACAAACCTGCGTGCCTACTGGAAAGTGGAATCTCAAATAAATTCTCTGACCTCTTCTTCCTGATATTTAGGCTTTGGGAGATCTACCATGGCGGCTAGGGTAGCTCCAATTCAGGCCAAGTGATATGGAAAGAAAAAAAAAAGGCTCTTGGAAAAATAAATCACCATGAGGTAGAGAAAGAGGAGGCTGAGGGGCTACACTGGCTGGCACCGGTTTAAGCGCAAAGAAGAGCTATCAAGTTTTTGCTACCCCGTCCAATACTCCAAAAGCAATAGTTTTTGTGAAAAACTAAAAGAGTCACTCAATAAGAGTGATGCAACCCCTTTAGGACACAGACCTTTCAAAAATGGCTATTATAGTAAGGAAAGCTCTGGACAAGATTTTCAGAGACAGCTTCTGGCTTCTGTGAGAGCTTTTTGGCTCATGAACAGCACCCTCGGGCTAAAGTGACCCTTCTCTAATTCATGCAGAATCTGTGGTAGCTTGAATCATGACAGACACAAATATTCATCCTAGCCCTGGCATGCTGGGGCCTCACATCCTGCAAAGTATCTGGCTATGAAAATAGAAGACTTTGCCTGGCTGTGGTGAAGTAACTTAGCATAATACTGAAGTATTGAGAAATAACTACTCACGGAGCCAGACATTCTTTTAGCACGTTTGACTGATACTGGGGCAGAAGGCTGTAAACCTCACCTACTGCAATTCAGATGTGGCTGGCTGAGCAGCTCTCAGCAGCCGTCAGCACTGACAACTAAGCAAAATGAGACTCTCACACCACCCCAGACAATAGTAAGAACACAACACATTGAACGTATATAAGGTGACAGGACTGGGATAGTCAGGCACTGCTCTCAGGACCTGACTGAGGTAGAACCTTCCACCTCTATAAAGGACTCTCAAATAATAGAAACATTCTGACTTAGTGAGTGAATGAGTAAAATGAAGTTATTTTTGAAAAATTGTGAAACCATTACCTAAGGAAGCTACCACAAAGCCAAACTCTGGTTTTGTAAAGACGCTTTGCCAAGTGGTAAATTTCCGGCTTTGCCTCTTCCTGAGCATGTATAATGCTGTGGTTAGGCCGCTATCCAAGCGACCTTGTCCAGGACCCCTGCAGGACACAGTGTACATAAGCTCTCAGAGCCCCCAGAGCCCTCTGAGCTGTTGGCACCTCCTTCTTCTTCTAACAATAGATCCAGCTCATGATCCTGCCTGGCTGGCTTCTCCATGCAGTGGATTTTTCCATTCAAGTTTTAAAATTGAACATGGCTCAAGAGTACAGTTCCTGCCAAAGTTCATAAATGCCATTTTCTTTTTGCAACAAAGCTATTTTCAGGAGGTTTCCCTAGGAGCCTCAGTGTACAGCTGTTGCTGATATATAAAGCACAAAGTACATAGACACTAATCACAAACAAACTACAAGAGAGAATGCAAAGTGCTGAGTTCAAGATTTTTCCTTTCAACAAACCAAGAGGGCTGCTTTAAACCACTTGATTTATAGTATTTGTTCGACGGCCTCTGCAAATTTACTACATATTCAGATTTTTGATTGTTTGTTTTTTGAAGAGGAAATGCGAATGTCACCTCCAGTGAAAGGGCACATTCACATACAGATGTCTTCTATGTGACAATATAAAAGAATAATTGACCAATAATCCAGAGAGAGCAATGTTACAACACACACGTATAAGTGCTGGGCAGCAATCATCAGGATGAGATAGTTCAAAACATTCCCTGCCTCCTTCCGCTAAGGAGAAGTTGGTATTTGAGCACTCGCTTGTGCTCTTTCCCTATCTTATTTAATAGGAATTATTCTTTTGCTAAGTGACAATCTAAATAAAAAATAAATGAGGAGTGGGGATAAAGAAAAATGCCCCAGAGGTGTCTGTTGAGAGAGTATTTTAGGAGAGTTTAGCAGATAAGAGTAATTGAGATGTGAGAAATGAAGGATAAGAGGACATTAAAGATAGTATATGAACAGTTATCAGGGCCTGTGACTTTCACCCTTTGAATATTTTTTCAAAAGACTGTAAACTTCTTTCATATTATTTTGGAAGATTTGAACTTCCTTGGTTGAAATTATTGCAGAAATTCAAACACAAATTTATATGGATTGCATAAACAATAACTTAAAATGGATTAGACACATTTTTATTGATGGTTAATTTCATATGAATTTATATTGGTGGTCAATTATATGAATTTTATACTGATGAAACATGTCCAAATTGTTTCAATTAAATGAGGAAAAAAACACAAACAAGTACATGGTCACTGTGAATTAATAAATACTAGAATTTATTTATTTCTTTATTAAATGTATTCATTCAGTAAAGGTCTTGGGCACCTAACACATGGCAGACTATATAAAAAACTGAGATTTCAAAATTGAATAAGGTGACTGCTGACCACAAGGAGTTCACAATTTACTGGGGTAAGACTGATGCAAAACAGATCATTAGTATACAACATGATAAATGATAGAAACCTGTATATGGTCTAAGGGAACAGGGTGGAGAAGTCCTAACAAAGCCTAGATTTGATTTCCTGGAGTAAAGTGATGCTTATTCAGTGAGCGAAAGATGTGTGGGAGGTTGTCAAGATAAAAGAAGGAGGAAAAAAGTGACTCCATGCCAAGAGCACATTATAAGCCAAGTTACAGTATGTAGAAAACAGAATAGGGGTGGTGGTGGTGGTGGTGGTAGTGGTAGTGGTGGTGCATGTGTTTCTCTGTGTGTACATGCATGCCAAGAAAACAAGAAGGAATTTTGTCACAGTAAAATAAAACATGTCGTCAGAAGTGACAAGATATAAGAGCTGTACTTAGAGAAGCAGAAGGGTCAGACAAAGGGTGGATCAAGGATGATCCAGGGGGCCAGGCGCTGTGGCTCATGCCTGTAATCCCAGAACTCTGGGAGGCCGAGGTGGGTGGATTATTTGAAGTCAGGAGTTCAAGACCAGCCTGGCCAACATGGTGAAACCCCACCTCTACTAAAAATACAAAAATTAGCCGGGCATGGTGGCAGGCACCTGTAATCCCAGCTACTCGGGAGGCTGAGGCAGGAGAATCGCTTGAACCCGGGAGGTGGAGGTTGCAGTGAGCCCAGATTGTGCCACTGCACTCCAGCCTGGGTGATAGAGTGAGACTCTGTCTCAAAAAAAAAAAAAAAAAAAAAAAAATGATCCAGGGTATCATGATACGGAAGAAAGAAGAAGAGAAACCACTGAGGAATGTAAGAGAACGGAACAGTGAAATTTACAGCTGGATTGAAGAAAGATGTAACTGTAAGCAGAGAGAAGAGGTAGGGAGCCATTGCACGATCTATAAAAAAATATTGAAAGTTCTGACTGCGGTTAAAAAAAAAAAAAGATGAGGGTGAACGAAAGACACAGATTCAGGAATAATTAATAAATGTTAATAAATAAACTTGGTAGAAGTTGGTTTTTGATTGAACATATGTGATGGGAGAGAAGAATATGAGTCCCCAATTTCTAAGCTGAGTACCTGGGAAGATGATCGTGTTGGTGAAGCCATCTAAAGAAATAGAGAATGGAAAAGGGGAAATGAGATTGGTAGAGGTGAGCCTAAGTGTTATGTGAGAAGAGATGATGATTTGAAAGTTAAGTATATAATCTGAAGTTCAGAGGAATGCTGTTGGCTAGAGATGTGTATAGATTTGAGACTAACAGCAAGTGATGTTTGTTGAAACTATGACAGTGGATGAGGTCACCCAGGGAAGATATGTGGGTATAGAGAGTAAATGGCCAAATTAAAATTTAAAGATTGGACAGAGGAAGGTAAGTTCACTAAGGCAAAAGAGAATAGCTAAAGAAATACATGAAAAATGAGAATATTGCAATGTTATAGAAGTCAAGCAAGTAGAATTTCACAAAAAGCTAGTAATTGGCCATTTCTTGCAAATGAAGCACATGAGGATTTTGACTCGCAGGGCACCAGAAAGGCATGATAGAAAGCATGCCTCTGAACCCTTTGAAAGCTTTCCAAACTTTAAATTGCTATCACCCCCAGAAAGATCCAGATAGATCTTCGGTGGAGGACGTTAATATGAGACATCACCTAAACAATTGAATAAAATGTAGAAAAAGATCCTCAACACCAATATAATTAAAAGGAAAGAAACCATAGAACAATTGTGACACTAGAAAAACTATAATGATCTCAGATCTACTCTCTCAAGTCTCTGAGAACTTGATAAAAAAAAAAACACTGTTCTCTATCTAGTTAAAGGAAGTCACTTTTTTTCTGAGAAACCACCATATGTTAAGCTGTCTTTATATAGACCTTAATAATCCTCACAGTCAGGAAACTAAGATTCAAGGAAATTTTAAAAAATATATCATGAAGTCATATAGCTAATTAATGATGAAACTTTTATTAAAACCCAATTTAAAGAGTAATCCAGAGCAAGTGTCAATACTGTTGAATCTAAAATAAAGACTAATAAAACAATATTTAAAGTGAACATCTTTGTAAAACAAGAAATAGAAACATAAGCCAATAGGGTGACCATATTTCCCAGTTTGTACAAAATAGTTCCATTTTATGCTTATTGTCCTTGTAATTATTAGTAGCACTTACGCCCTTCGCTCCTTTAAGTGTTGTGGTTTGGAGAATAAATATGTGGACACTCTACATAGCAATGTTGTGACATGGCATGTTAGAGATCTAAGGTATACAGTAATTTGAGGACAAAGAAAACAACTGAATTGCAATGTTTTTCTACCACTGAGGTTTCAACAATTGCAGCTGTACCTTTTCCTTCTCTGAGACAGCACGTCAGCATTTCCTTCCATTTTCTCTATTTTTAGAAACGTAAAATTCAGCTATAAAATATGGCTGTTGGCAGACAGTACAGACAAGAGTAGAATTCTGCATAATAAATCTATAGTTGAAAAATATGGATTCTGTGGGCATTCTATGGAGTTCTTGCTGTTGGCCATGACTTTCTACTAAAGCGATCTCTTTAACAAGTACCTGTTCAATTCCTAATTGAGCTTTCGAAGGTAAAAGTTGCTCTTTCTGCCTGTAATCCCAGGCCTTTGGGAGGCCGAGGTGGGCAGATCACGAGGTCAGGAGATCGAGACCATCCTGGCTAACACAGTGAAACCCCATCTCTACTAAAAGTATAAAAAATTAGCCGGGCATTGTGGCAGGTGCCTGTGTTCCCAGCTACTCGGGAGGCTGAGGCAGGAGAATGGCATAAACTTGGGAGGTGGAGCTTGCAGTGAGCCAAGATCACACCACTGCATTCCAGCCTGGGTGACTGAGCGAGACTCCGTCTAAAAAAAAAAAAAAGTTGCCCTTTCTTGTGACTTCATTCATTTTATCCCATATATATAAGTAATATTCATTGAGTAAAATGTGTGAATTTATTTTTTACTGAATCTTTGAGATAATTTTCAAAGATACATGGGAAGTATCTTTTTCAACAGCATTATAGGATATTAGTGGTAAAAGAAAGTTCAGAGATTATCTAATGCCACCCTTATTCAATTTTCAAATGAGAATATAGAAACTGAGAAAGCATAAGTGATTTGCCCACAATCACAGAGTTAATTAGTGACAGATGAATACATTTATGGTCTCTTATGGGAAAAGACAGAATAATGGAATTCTTATGGTTGAAGAAACATTAAACTGGATAATTTGACACCTGTAAAAGATATTCATTAAAGACAAATTTGTGCCTGCCACACACTGATTTCTGTTCCAATTTTCTGTCAGTCTACACTTACAGCTAGAGCTGGCAACTATCATACAAGCAGTCAACACTTACATTCTTAAACACTTTTTTGTCAAAGTATCATGGACATCAAAGACCTCTAAACACATGAATCTCTAAAGAGATAAAAACCAGATATGAGAAATCTAAGTTGTACAAAGTTGTTCCTTTGATTCTTCTTTGAGCCCTGAACTGACATTTTTCCCTAACACTTATGCTCTGAACCATATGACAGTCCATCAAGTTGTTGGTGTTTGTCTGCTTTGTCCTAATTAAGGATCTCCCTGTGTTCTGCTGCCTTGTTTAAAATGTCAACAAAAGCTTTAAATAGCACTGTATCTCAGTGTGTGCACTCATTATTAATTCAACATCTGGATCAAAGTAAATGATATTATATCTTACTGAAATATGCTTTGTTTTTTCTTATTAAGCTTGGCAGTTAGATGATTGTCAAAAGATGCATGCTTTATTAAAACGCTTTAAGCAAGAAGGGTATATCTTAGTACAAAATTAGATAGAACAGGAAATCCATTAAGGAAATATACAACATTTTGATTTTATATTTCCTTGAATCTCTACACATAGAGTTTTCTAATTTTTTTTTTCTTAATTTGATGACTAGGACTTGTTAAATTTTCACCAATTAATTAGAAAATAAAAATTTTGGTAAAATGACTCTGATGAAGCACAAAATGATATGCACTTTTATTGTTTTATTTGGCTAATGGCACAGTTTAGCATGTCCAATTTTTCTCTAAAGCCTTATATTCTCTGTGGCACCAACAGCAGTTCATTACCCCAAAATGGAGCTCAGTATTTGTTTCACAAATAGTCTTACCAACAATCGCCAAAATAATGAAAATATTATTGCAATATGCACAATTATCAAAAGAATTGATTAGATATAATTAATTCCTATGATTTCTCAGTAATGTGACCTTACTATGCATTAAGCAATGACCTGGTTTCCAATTACCAAAAACTTCATTGCCTTCTGAATGTAGATATATGGCATTTTGTGATGTACTATCCGTTGATTATTAAAAATTGCTTCAGCAAGTTTCAGGAACTATGTCTGTGTTCTCAAACAGAAATTAAATAATATACTACTACAGATTAAATAAATGCCTTTTAAAAGTATGATTTGAGGAGATGTCAGCAAGATGATAAAATAAGGCTCTCCAGTGCTCCCTCTCTCACAGAAACATCAATTTGAACAACTATCCGCACACAAAAATACCTTCACAAAAGTGAAGGAAACCAGGTGAGAGATTTCAGCACCTGGGTATAGCACGGAAACAAGAAAAGATGCACTGGAGAGAGAGGAAGGACAGTTTCACATTACCTGCTTCACTTTTCCCCCAATTACCAGACAGCACAGCATGGAGACAGATACCCTCCACATGATGGTAGGAGAAGGAAGTGAGCATCAGACTTTGCCTTAGACCCCAACACTGGGCCTGCCACAGAAAAACCCAGCACCAAAGAGACCCTCACAGCCCTAGACACCAGGCTAGTACTTGTGGACTGAGCTTCCACACCTTTCCCAGCACTGATCAGGGGCTTATAGCCTTAGACTCAAGGTCTATACAGCAGACTTGGTCTCTGGGCCACTCTACTGCCAGGTCTACCTTAGCAGCCCAGCCTCTGGAACTTCTCCAGCACTGGGCTGTCCCCTATAATCCTGGACATCAGATCCATCCCAGTAACTGACTATTTCCTGCAGACTCAGACTCAAAGCCAATCCCAGAGCCAAGTAGCCCCCTGTGGACCCAAGGATAAGGCCAGCCTCTACAGATGTAGGCAAATATTTGCAGACATAGGCGTCAGGTCTGCCCTTGTGTACCCAGGTTTCAGGCCTATCCATGGGGACTCAATCAATAGGTCCACACTTGTGGATCTAGACTTAGGCCCAACCCTATAGACCCACCCACCTGCTGACCCAGGCACCCAGACACCAAGCCCAGCCAACCTACCTGAGGACTCCAACAGCAGGCCTACCCTTAGACGACACCAAATGGCATGCACAGGTTCTATGGAAAGGCTGACTGATAAAGAGTTTTCCCAGACAAAGCCAGTCTGCAAAGACTGGAATAAGCCCTTACTTCTTCAGATGCACAGACATCAGTGTAAGGAAATAAGAAACATGAAAAGCTGAGGTGACATAAACCACCAAAAAAATACAAAAATCTCCCAGTGGCTGAGTCAAGAGAAGTGGAAATATATAAACTAAGAGACAAAAAAGTCAAAATAATTGTTTTAAGGAAGCTCAACAAACTTCAAAAAAATTACAGGGAAACAATTTCATAAAATCAAGAAAACAATAAATAAAACAAATTTAATAGAGAGATTGAAATTATTTTTCAAAGACAAAGAGAAATCCTATTGCCGAATATAATGAATGAATGAAAAATGCAATAGTAGGATTGATGAAGGAGAAGAAAGAATTTGTAGCCTTGAAGACAAGTTATTTAAAAATATATGGTCAGAAGAGAAAAAATGAAAACAAATAGAGAAAGTTTATGTGATTTATGGGAGAGCATCAAAAGAGCACATTTTTTAGTTCAAGAAGAGAAAGACAAAGGGGTAGGAAGTATGTTTAAGGAAATAATAACAGAAATGTTTTCATATCTTGGGAAAGACATATTCACGTAGAGGAAAGTTAAAGTTCTCTAATCAGATTCAATTCAAACAAGATTACACCAAGATATATCATAATGAAATCAACAAAAATCAAAGACAAAGAAAGGATCCTAAAGGCACCAAGAGAAAAGAAGCAAATAACATTTAAGGGAATGTTCCTATCAAGCTAGCAGATTTTTCGGCAGAAACCTTACAGGCCAGGAGTGTATGGGACAACATAATCAAAATGTTAAAATAAAATAAAAAAACTATCAATTAGGAATACTGTACCCCACAAAGTTGTCCTTCAGAAAAGGAGAGATAAAGTCTTTCCACAACAAAAGTTGAGGGAGTTCACCACCAGACCTGTCTCACAAGAAGATGCTTAAGAGAGTTCTTCAGGCTAAAAGAAAAGCATTCTAATTAGTGACACAAAAACATGTGAAAGTGTAAAACTCACTTACAAAGATAAGTACACAGTCAAACTCACAACACCCTAATACTGTAATGGTGGTATGTAATTCACCTATATCTTTACCATGAAGGTGAAAAGAAAAAAACTACTAAGAATAACAATAGCTACAATAATGTGTTAAGGCATCTACAACCACCTGATCTTCGACAAACCTGACAAAAACAAGCAATGGGGAAAAGATTCCCTATTTAATAAATGATGCTGGGAAAACTGCCTAGCCATATGCAGAAAACTGAAACCAGACTCGTTCCTTACACCTTATACAAAAATTAACTCAAGATCGATTAAAGACTTAAATGTAAAACCCAAAACCATAAAAACCCTAGAAGAAAACCTAGGCAATACCATTCAGGACATAGGCATGGGCAAAGACCTCATTACTAAAACACCAAAAGCAATTGCAACAAAAGAAAAATTGACAATTGGGATCTAATTAAACTAAAGAGCTTCTGCACAGCAAAAGAAACTATCATCAGACTGAACAGGCAACCTACAGAAAGGGAGAAAATTTTTGCAATCTACTCATTTGACAAAGGTCTAATATCCAGAATCTACCAAATTTACAAGAAAAAAACAAACAACCCCATCAAAAAGTGGGCGAAGGACATGAACAGACACTTCTCAAAAGAAGACATTTATGTGGCCAACAAACATGTGAAAAAAAGCTCATCATCACTGGTCATTGGAGAAGTGCAAATCAAAACCACAGTGAGATACCATCTCATGCCAGTTACAATGGTGATTATTAAAAAGGAAACAACAGATGCTGGCGAGGCTGTGGAGAAACAGGAACGCTTTTACACTGTTGCTGGGAGTGTAAATTAGTTCAGCAATTGTGGAAGACAATGTAGTGATTCCTCAAAGATCTAGAACCAGAAATACCATTTGACCCGGCAATCCCATTACTGGGTATATATCCGAAGGATTCTAAATTATTCTGTTCTAAAGACACATGCACACATATGTTTATTGCAGCACTATATACAATAGCAAATACTTGGAACCAACCCAAATGCCCATCAATGATAGACTGGATAAAGAAAATGTGGCACATATACACCTTGGAATACTATGCAGCAATAAAAAAGAATGAGTTCATGTCCTTTGCAGGGATATGGATGAAGCTAGAAGCCATCATCCTCAGCAAACTAACAACTAGCACAGGAACAAAAAACCAAACACTGCGTGTTCTCACTCATAAGTGAGAGTTGAACAATGAGAACACATGGACACAGGGAGGAGAACATCACACACCAGGACCTGTCAGAGGGTTGGGGGCAAGGGAAGGGAGAGCATTAGGACCATACCTAATGCATGCTGGGCTTAAAACCTAGAAGCTGGGTTGATAGGTGCAGCAAACCACCATGGCACATATTTACCTATGTAACAAACCTGCACGTTCTGCACATGTATCCCAGAACTTAAAGTAAAATTTTAAAAAAAAGTGTTAAGGGATACACAATATAAAAATATGTTAATTGTGACATCAAAAATTTTAAATGTGGGAGGAATGGTGGAGTAAAAGTATAGTTTTTTA